>NC_000001.11:177427011-177730041 GCF_000001405.40 Homo sapiens
AATCTAGTTCTGGTAGTCAAGGAATAGAATTAAAAGTAAAACAATCCGCCTCCACATCTGGTAACAAGGCAAAAAACTGTCACTTGGTGAAGCTGCCTCAGAGGCATCAACATACAGTGAGAAGGCTTTTCTTTAATCTCATTTTACTCTGGTGTATGAGCATAGCTAATATCCACGTTAAGACATCTATTTATGCTGTCTAAAAGGCATTTGTCCAAAACATCCTGAAAATGAAAATGGATTATGAAATATTGATGAGATTGTAATAATAGAAAGTTCATAGTGTCCAGAAAACAGAGCAGGGATGTAAGAGTGTTTGTCCACCACTGTCCAAGATAAAACAACATTGTAAATACTGAACACTGTATTTAGTGCCTGAAGACCTGTGCTCTAGCATAGAGCAAGGACAGTATGTATAGCTTCTCTGCACATTTCCTGGGCATTTTTTTTTTTACTCTTATGGCTTCATTTACATAGAAAGTTAGATTATAGATAGATAGATAGATAGATAGACTGATAGATAACTCTCAAATCAAGCTCCACACCAATGTTAGACATTGCCACTTATGTAACTCATAGATGTCTCACAATTCATAAATCCAAAACTGAACTCAGTGTCTTCTCCTCAATGAACAAAATTTGGAGTTCCTTCTCCCTCAACTGTCGCAGTTAATCAACCAAATTCTGTTAATTCTTCACCCATAATACAGTTCAAACTCGTCCCTATCTCTTCATTTCCAATGTTACCACCTGAGGTCAGGCTACCACAGTCTATTTCATGAATTATTTCAACAGTCTTCTAAAGGGTCTCCCTGCTTCCACCTTTCTTTCCAACAATTCATTTTTCTTCAAAACTCTCCCTTCACCCCAAAATGACTTTTAAAACAATAATTCATTATTGCATTCAGTCTGGCAATCCTTGCATTCTAAATTCCACCAAACTGGACAACTTGCAGTTCCCTGGAGAAATTACTCACTATTAACTCACTGTCTCCCCCAGCCCTTCCTCTCCTGTGTCACCTAAGTGGATTCCACTCATCTCTTGAGACTCCACTCAGACATGACCTGATCTGGAACATCTCCTTATAGCATTATTGATTACACATCACATACTGTGAGGGCCCTCTCTTGACAAGGCTCTTGATGATAAGTAACGTCTTACTTAATGGCTCAACAGGAATACATTCAATTTAAAAATTCTTTTGTAAAGTATGCGACATTTCTTGTAAAACTTTTTAGTTTCTTTTTATTCTGAACTCTTTGAGCAAATTCACATTAGTTGTTCTGTACCCTGTTACCTTGATATTGGAAGAAAATCTAAACTAGAGGATGTAATAATTTCTAATACATATTTTTATTGTATAAAGAGCTGAAATCTGAGATATCAATCAAACTCTATGCATAATCACTCATCATATATCAATTCTGGCATTGCTTCCCCCACCCCACCAAGATGAACTGATGAAGGTGAGGGGCTAAAATGTCAAAGGAAAAGATACTCCCTGAACCTTGGCATATCTCCTCCACCCCAGGATATAAATCATGGGACCCTGCCAGGATGTTCTGTTTGTCTGGCTGCTTTAGGTGGCAAATATCACTGCAAGGGATGTGACAATAAAGCAAGCTCTGCCTAACATCAAGCGGTGAAGGAAATGGTGGCTGGCTGGCTGGCTGAATGCGGCAACAGATTTGCAGAGCCTTCTGCCTTCACCTCTGTAGAAACTGTTCAAAAGTTTACATGTGATTTTCAGCTGGTACAAACAGAATCGCAAAGTAAATACCTTCCATTCCTCTCACAGATGTTCAATCAGTGGGAATCTATCAGGTACAAAGGAAGCCATCTGTCTTTTCCACATACACCTATTGTTAGGAAATCTTAAGGGTCCTCTTAGCATTTGGCCTGCTCTGCTTATGGTAAAACAGCAGGGGTAGCCATTCCAGATCTGATCTTGGACACCGGACAAAGTGTAGGAAAAAAAAAACCACTAAGATGATTAAAATACATACACACACTTATTTGTATCAAAAGAAGACAATGTCTTCAAATGTAGCAAATTACCAGGAGCTATGGGTCTATACAGATGAGAAGCCAGCAACAGTTTTCAACTCTACTTCTCAGAGACATTTAAAGAAAAATGTAAGCATTATTAAATACTAGAATGATTTGTCCAAAATGAGGAATACAATCTCTTATTCCAAAGAGCTATAAAAAAGAAGATAATCAATCTACTTGAGAAGCCAATTGTTGGCATACCTAAAGGCAGGGAAATGGCCTCTATGGACTCTTAGATTCTCCTCTGGCTTTGTGATTCTATAAATCCTTCTAATAAAAATATTGTCAGACATACCAAGTGATTTATGTTTATTTTTGTCTCTGAGTACACACACACACACACACACACACACAAGTCACCAGCAGGTGGCTCATCTGGGGACTTAGTTTTCCAGAGGAATTAGGCCTTTATCAATACCCAGTGGCCACCTTGTAGTATTTGACTGACAGCTGCAAATGAAACCCTAAAATCAAATTATAAATCAGGAGAATATATCCGGAGTGGCTGTTTTTCCTAACGTTGACTAGGGACACCCCCTTATGCTATCAGCCAACCTGAGCAAGTATATGATAATAACAATAATGTACTTGTTGCTAAAAATTTAACACCAAGATTTTGAAAGGTGGACAGAATCGAATACAAAAAAACACTGAGAAAACCAATGAAAGCTGCCCATACTCATAAGGGGAGAAAAGACAATGCCAGATTCTTCTACTCTTTGGAGAAAATGGAAAACAAGAGATATTTTAGAGTTCTATTGAGTGAAATTCTGATAATCTCACTTTAAAGCACCGTAAGGGAGGCTGTAAAAAAAGACAATAAAAACCCCAAATTTTTAGAATTAGGATGAAAAGCTCACTAAATTTTAACATATGTTTATGGATCTTTGACCATGATAACCAGAGTCCTACAAAACGTGAAATCATTAATATACTCTGTACTCAGCATTATATGTTTAACATTGCACATAGTTATTTGTATATCCTTACATCTGTTCAGTAATTACTGGCAATAAGTATGTATCCCTTCAAAAATATAAATTAAAGGTTAAAATATATGTATCTGACAAATGTATATGAAATACTACAACTGCTATGGAAATTTATTTTAATAAATCTTTGAGTTTGTAATAAATTTGCCCCATTTCAATATTTTCAAAGTACTTTTCTGACATTATTTGTTGCCAAAAAAAGCAAGGTTTGAAAAGAGAAGGAATAAATGCACTCTAGTTTTTAGGTGAGAAAACAGTGTTGACCTGAAATCGCTGGCTTTGCTTCCACCTTGGTGAAATGGGTATTTAGGGGAACAATAACAGGGAAGACAAGGGGGAGAGGATACTTCTATCCCTCTGCAATCTGATTCACCATTTTCTCCCATCTTCACACCCTTATAGCCCAGCCTTAGAAAGCACCAGGGATTCCGAAATCCTGGACAAGTTCTTAGTCAATGCAGACATCATGGCCACACTTTAGAGATCTATGCCAGACCTTGCCCTCTTTCACAGTCTATGCTGTTCCACAGCTGAAAACCTGTCACCCCAGAACAGCTAACTAAACTCTAGGAGTGCAGTACTGTGGAAGACTATGCAGCAGTCATAAATAACAATGAAATCCAAATGTATTGACATATAAAGATCTCTGAGACATATTACTGAGTGTAAAAAGCAAGCTATGGTATGATATATACATTATGACATTATTAATGTTAAAAACAAACGAGACTGTATCTTTCTGTACATAACTAGTGTATTGAAAAGTTTGATTTACTGGGCTAAAAATATGGAATTGATTTTTTTTTTCACTCACTGCATTTAACTGTGTTGAATCTCCCTTTTCAACCCTTTAATAGTATGCAGGGCAAATCCCATAGCTTTCTGATCACTTTCACATGTTAAACACTCCAGTTTAGTCCTATCCATTTATCCCAGTTTAAATAATCAATCATATACCCTTTTTCCCCACTCAGTTCAGCCTGCCTCAGCTAGAGGACTTGAAGTAAGGAGAGAGGATGGTCTGCTCTTTTGATTCTTTTCCTCCTGTTCCCTCTTCTCCACCTCTCTCTCTCCATTATACTACAGTAGAGGTGAGACTGGGGTCTCTGCCTGTGGGGTCCTCTCTTGGCTGACACTGTCTGGCTTTTGGCACTATTGACTTGGCAAACACCTTTCTTTGGGAAACATGGATGAGTTCTTTCTGAAATAGATGAAAGGCTCTGATTTGATCTTTTCTGCCTTACCCCCCTAGTGGCTCAAAACCACAGTGTCTTGCTGACAGGGTCTCCTCTTCTAGAAGCCAGCCATCCCGCTCAGGTAATAGCAAGTGCCTTCAAACTACCTTCCTCCATGTGCACTTGAGACATAGGAAACACCCTTACTCTCCCCAAACCAAGCAATGTGTAGCTGCTTCATTTTGCTCTCCTATTAAGTGAAGATCAGCAGGTCCACTCTCTAAGCAGATGTCCAATTAGTGAATTAAGGTCCAGTCTCCCTTTCTTGAAGACACTCCCAAAATATAAAAGTATTTCTCTTGGAGCCTCCCTCATTAGGCTGAAGTACCTCCTGTGATTTCCCATGAAGACAGAAAGGAAAAACTACAACACCCCTTCCTAATACAACACATCATAACTCCACTTCCTTTCTTACACATTTTGAGAAGGGAATTATTGGGGGAAGGAGGGTCTCCTAGAGAATCCTGCAAGGAGATGCTCAGTGACTCCTCATTCATCATCCTGTTACATGCAGCTCTCTTTATTTAAAAAACGGATTGGTTGACATTGTTCTCCTCTGGGGAGGGACATGGGTTGATGAATGGTGGTAAATGGGCTTTAGCTTCTTTTTATTGTTTCAGTTTTTACAAAGAGAATGTTTTTATATATTTCATCCATTAATTCAAAATAATATTGGCTGGCCCTTAGAGATATCATAATATCTGCTTTAATCAAGGCAACCAAAGTTGCAGTCTCAATCCTGGCCACTATATTGTACTAAGTACCATTGACTCTGCACTAATAAAGGTTTCCCAAAGTTTGATGGAGGAGTTGCCCTTTCTCCAAGAGTATAACTGGCAACTAATTGAAGCCAAAGAACACAGCACAGACTCCCTTTACCCACGTTGCTAATGGGACACAGACTATAGGGACAAGTCAATGTTCCCTTCCATGTTCCACCTGCTATAAGTCTCTGTAATCATCTGCTAGACTCTGACTAATGAAAGCAGCTGAAACTCTGTAGGGTGGGAGGGACAGTCTGACACGAGCATACAGAGGGAGAAGGTGGTGATGTGTTGCCACGCTGAGCACCACGTGGAGTTACCACTTGTCAGGGCCTCCTAACAAGCATTTAGAAGGCTGGGAAAGGGCTTAGCCAACAAGCAAGAGGCCACGGATTATCTCCTGGTTGTTATTCTGCACATCCAGAAAAAGAGAAGGTTCCCAAGACACCTCTATTGGCAAGGAGAGGAGGTAATATAGCCAGCCTTTACCAGGGTGGCATTGGGTATGTGAAAACTCAGTTTTTGCATCTCTGCCAAGGCTTAAGAATCTCAGTGGGTATCTGGAAAGGAGAGGAGTCTACCACCTCTAGCAAGCTTCATTGATATTGGACAGAAGATTCAAAAGGGAAATAAAAAGAGAAATCTGAAGGTTTGAGATAACAGCACAAGTATGGTGATTTTGGTTCAAGACAATTTTACCCTAAAGAGTATAGCGCTCTAAAAATAATTCCAAAATTTCCTCTATGACCTTGTCCTTTAACATTAAATCACAAGAGAATTGTGATCTTCTTGGTTAGAAATGACAATATATGTTCTTTCATTTCTAGCTTACCATCTGGGTTTCCATTATGATGATACCTCTTTGATAAAAAAAAACATTGGTGCTAGAAAAGAATTTTGTGATAATCCAGTACAGCCATCTCAGATTACAGATGTTAGATTAGCTGCACAAGGGCTGACTGTGCTGTAAGAGCTGATGCAGTGCTGGGCTCCAGCTCCCCAGAGTCCCAGATTCACCATCTTTTACCACATAATTCTGCCTCTAGTGGCACAAAGAAGTAGTTCTTAAAGATATAATTTACTTTCATAATTATTGTTCTTCAGCATCAGTGTTGATAGTGGAGAATAGTAATAGCATCTTAAACATTTACAGATCATCATAATTACTTTCAGTTGCATAACCTCATTTGATTGCAACCACTCCGAGAAGCAAATGGCACAGCCACCACTAGGCCCATTTTACAAATGTGGCAACTGAGTTCAGAGATACTCGTTTGCCCTAAATCATGCAGAAACTGTCAGTCCTGACTCTTAGTTTAACTTTACTCCTATATCATCAATCACAAGTCTTTGTATTTTCCACACATTTTTAACATCATAATTGACTACTCTACACCTGAAGTTGATGTTTTATTCATCTCCACATGGATAAACCACACATCAACCATGTGTTTATTTTTAGATGTGTCTGCAAAGATTTTATTATGAGAATGTAGTATATTGAAATTAATAGCCAGAAGCCACACTGACTCAAAGAAGCACAATATGAGCCTGCTTTTTATTTTCATAACTTAGGTGGGATGCCTTTCGGGAAAAGTTTCAGTTTGCACAGACTCTGAGATGCAATGTTAGGAGTGTGGTAAGTGACCTATAGATGGGTGCTCTCAGCACCTCTCCTTCACCCCTCAGAGGATTTTGCCTCTCACACTCCTTTTCCCCCCACCACATACACACAAAGGCATCCTCAGCTGGCTCTGTGAACAGTAAAATAAGTTAGCTACACTGCAGGCCTTGACACATGGCTCACTCAGCGTCTGGCACATCCGGCGTCTTACCTTCCATACACACTACTTGGCCATATTAATTTCTGTCACAGGGGGGAGATTGGTCAGTGAAATCTAAATGGGCTTTTCCTATTTATTGATACAATTTCGTGGCAAGAGCAATTTTCAGAGCTTATTTTCCACTCCATTGAATCCCATGTTACTGCAAATGAATATATTCCTCGGTCAGTGCAATGGCAAAACACAGTTGTAAGTGCTTTATGCTTCATTTGGATAAAGAGTTCAGGACATTACCAAATATAAAAGGAAGTTAAGGGCCATATTTCATTAGAAACCTGTCTCCCCTGTTAATAAAACCTGATGCCGGTGGTAGATGTGTAAAAACACAGAGCAGGGACTGGCAGCTTTGGCTGGTATTCAGTAAGGCAGCCCAGTAGTTCCAGGCACCACCTGAGGAGTACACCATTTCTCTAGTCCAACCAATATCAACACACCAGTCCAGGGATCAGAAAGAAACTGAATTGTGGGATGTGAATTGGATATTTCATAGAAAATTGAAAATCCTACCCTCAGGCCAAGGTATGCTCTCCTTGGCTTTGCCGCCATTAAAGGAAAGTTCATGCTAGCATCACTAAGTGTAGAAGGCACCAAGTCAGCCTGTTGTAGGCGGATGTGTTGTGGCTTTTTAAAAATTACCTAGTGGATGGGCTTCCTGTATTGTATCTGTTTACTGAGTATAGGAAAATGTAGCCCCATCTCATTTCTCAGAGGAGAAAATGTAGGAACAGCCACAGGCAAAATTGGGGGACTTAGACTTTTATAACAACTAGGCCACTCTCAAATTACAATGTCAACAACAAAGAATGAAGAGAGCATCTGAACTCAAAATCTAGTCTTTTCTATAACCTCCGATCCACATCACAATACTCTCCACCATATTATAATTAGTTCACACTGAAGATGATAGATGATCTCATTTAACCACCAACCCTTGAGAAACAATATGAGTTATTGGCTTTTACTGGTGGTACTAAGAACACTTCTCAAATCCAAGGTATAAACATTCCCTTTTATTCGTTACCTAACAGGTGGATCATATCCCATACCCCACCTGCATTGAACTCCCCTGAAACTTCCGAGTCTGAGGCAAGAGTTCTGTCACTGACCTAATTCCTTCTCCTCATTTTATTGTTAGGCAGATTTGCAAACCCTGCCCTATCTTTGACCTCCACATTTCTGTTTCCTATCTTAGAGACAATTTCCATTTCTAATACTAAAGCTACTACATTTCAGCAAACTCATTTTTGTGTCACAAAAGAAGGTATGAGATCTCCTCAGAGAAGAAAATCTGAGGAAGAAAATCCTGAGATTTTCCTCATCTACAAAATAGGTATAATAATACCCATCTTATAAAGTTGTTGTAAGAATAACGTGATTTAAGATGCCTGGTACTTAATAGGGACTCATCAAACATTATCCCTGTTTTAAAATTTCTCCTAGAATTTCTACCTGGTCTTTGATTACTGCTGAAGCATAGTTACTCATACTAACTGAGTTGCTCATACTAACTGTCTGACATCCTTTCTTACCAAAGTCACAATTCACCAGGGGGAAAAAGAAAAGCCAGAGTTAACACTTTGGGCTCCAGGATTTAGTGAATTTTCTTCAAAGTGCTGTTGCTTGGAACTATTCACATCAAAGCCAGCTTGTAGCTAGTTCTCATCCAGATTTGGATTCAACACCTACTTTCTGGAAAATTTATATCCTTATGTAAGTGAAATAGTTTGTCGTTATGTTTTCCCTTGAGTTTTAGTAAAAGACATTTAAAAAGAAGTCCAAAACCATTTTGTCTGAACTAAAAGAGAATAAAAAGTTTTCTGCCACATTTGTTTAATTATAACTTGATCAACACTGGCAAGACTTTCCTCACAGAGTTATCTCAGAGGAGTTAACGCATTTCAAGCATAGTGCTCAGTATTTGTTTCCTTGTTTCTTGTCCCAATTAATCTCCATATGACTTTCTACCTTTCTTCCTTAACTTAGCGCCTATATTTTCTCATTTGGTTGGGCTAAATACAAACAAGATCCTCAAGGAAGAACTCTGGATATCATTTGGTGGTCTTCAAGAAGACCTGTCTTTGGTTTTTAAGTATTTTTTTCTGTGTTCATGAATTTCTTATTACATTGTTTTAAAGTAGACATTTATTGAGTGCTCACCATCTACCAGGAACTGAGCTATGTGCTGAACACTCAAAGTCCTTGACTTGAAGGTTCTGTGGGGAGAACAAGATGTAAGAGAGAACTTGAATGCTATTCATTAAGTGTGCTAGGACAGTAAAATGATTCTTTGAAGTAGGCATATGGAGAGCTCTGTTTTTCAGGTTTTTCAATCATCAACCGTCTTATGTGGTGAATCCAATATTGTCCTGAAGGACTGCAGTGTGGTGGAGAGCCTAATGAGAAAAGGGCATTCACTTGAGTGTCATGAAGGAGATGTCTCATGATGGTGGGATAGGGCTTGGACCATGATGGGACTGTGAAAATCAGGATAGGAGCAGTAGGGGTGGAGATGTATGGATTTCCCCTCTGCAGAGGTGAGCAAGATCACAGAACTGCCACAGACTAAATGCCAGAATACTTTTTGAGTGCCTGGAACTTAGACCACTTTTAGGTTAAGGAACCAGAGGAAAAAATCCTAAGCTGACTGAATATCCAAAAAAAAAAAAAAAAATTAGGGGTAAAATGGTAGAAGTGACTGTGTTAACCTTAAAGAGGTAATATTAAAATTTTTCCCATTGGTGGAATTTGAGATTTAGGAATTAAGGTAAATTCAGATATAAGGAAGTAAAGAAAGCTCCATTTGCACAGAAGAGTCTGTAATTATGAAAGTCATGCCATCCCACATAATCATAGTGTTCTTCTACTATGTGAGACTGTGAGCTCCTTGAAAGAAAGATTTTGTTCATCTTTGAAAAAAGGTCTTGTTCATCTTTTGAAGAGTGGGTGGAGGATAGGTTTTGGGAATAAGCTAGCTTGACTTTTAGCTCTGCCATTTATTGGCAATAAATTTTTGAAGTTTCCATTTGTTTTCTCATCTGCAAACTGTAGGTCATGTAAGCTACCATTTCTTAAGGGTTTTTCTGAAGACTTCATTAAATAATGTGTGGAAAGTATCTAGCACTCAGATATTCAATTAATGTTTTCTTTTTTCCTGTATCTTCTCTTTCCCCAGCACAAAGCAAAGAATATGGGATGTGTTTTTTCTTGCCATCCCCCTACCTATAGTAATCTCTCCACTTGTCATACACAGCATGATCCTGGGATAGCACCTTCTTCCTTTCCCCCAGAACATTTTCTGGAGAATTTTAATTATATTCAATTATACAAAGTTGTTAATGTTATTACCCATATGTTGCAGATTGAAAAACTGAGGCATAGAATGGTTGAGTAACTTCCTCAAACGTGTAGCTAGTAAGATGATGAAATCAAGGTATTTCTGACTCCAGAAATAACTACTTTTCTCTCTTGATTCTAGGTCCATCCAATTCCAAGCTCATACTTCTTCCACTGTACCACACATCTCCCTTCCACAGACTACAGTTTTTCTTCTTGTAAAGTCTTCATTTTGTTTTAGGTAGCTTGGATGAGGTAAAACTGCAAGCTCCCAATGAAGCACTTCATTATTTTGAGCTCCACAAAGCACATCTGCATGTAGCCGCCTTTTCAAATTTCTGCTAAATCACCAGTAAGCTTATAGTGGCTTATATGGTCTCGAGTTCCAAAGGACTATGGAACTGCATGTGAAGATCTTGAGCCATGAAGACAGATGGGACAGTGAAATTAACCTAACCAGTGACATGCAGTTTCCTTAGACTTCTATTTTCTCCGTGAGTGAAGCACCAACTCAGGTGCCATGGTGTGACAGGGCTTGGCAGAACAACTCAAGGAGAGAAAAGAATCCAAAGGCAACTTCCTTCTCAAACAAAAATTTCCTTGGATCCTCTCTTTCATAAAATAATAATAGTTACCAGTGTTTCCTTCTATACCTGTTTTTTTTTTTTTTTTTTTTTTTTTTTTTTTTTTTTATTTTGACAGTATCTTGCTCAGTCACCCAGGCTGGAGTGCAGTGGCCCAATCTCTGCTCACTGCAACCTCTACCTACTGGGTTCAAACAATTCTCTCTGCCTCAGCCTTCCAAGTAGCTGAGATTACAGGTGCCTGCCACCAGCTGGGCTAATTTTTGTACTTTTAGTAGAGATGGGGTTTCGCCATGTTGGTCTCGAACTCCTGATCTCAGGTCATCTGCTCACATCAGCCTCCCAAAGTGCTGGGATTACAGGCATGAGCCACTATGCCCAGCCTGTACCTTCTTGAATACCAAAATGAGGATGTCTTGTCCACCAAGGCTGATCTTTTCAGCACAATGCATGCTCTGGGAGAGCAGGGTCCATTCTCTGAGGTATCCCAAGTGCCTAGCATGGGGCCTGGCACACTTAGGTTCTCAATTAACACTTATTGGATTCATAATTTTTATTTCCCTTCTTGTTCTGAAAAAATCTGATTAAAAAACATGACATTAGCTCCCAGCTGACTCAGTTTGGCTGGGAAGGGGAAGAGGAGTGACATATATTACCATTACTCTGTATCAGCCACAATGTTTCTTATGTATGGTGTTATTGAATCCTCATAATAACTCCATCAGGTGGATATTACTACTTCATTTTACAGATAAGAAACTGGATCTTAGAGAGGTAAGATAATGATCCCAAAGTAGCACAGCTAGAGGTAATTCCTAAATCAATGACTTTTCCATTGCACTATGTAGCAGTTTTCATGAAGGCCAAGAAATTGATAAATTTTTATGGTTTGGTCCCTCTTCAACATTACTAGTAGATAGGGAGTTTAATCAAATTATCATTAATAGTAAGTTTAACATTTCTGAGCACTTATTATGTGCCAGGCATTATTCTAATCCTTAATATGTATTAATATACGTAATTATTTCAACATCTCTATAAGGTTAGTGGTATTACTGTTCCAATTTTATGGACAATGGGTGAGAAATTTGTTCACAAACAACATGTCCAAAGTCATATATCTAATAGGCGATGGCCCCACCTTTCATATCCAGGCAGTCTTGTTTCAGTGCCCGAGCTCTTACCCACTTTGCTACTCTTTCTCTTCAAAATCCACCTCTATTAGAAGTCTACTAGGATAGCTCTTGGCTACCAAAAGTCCCTACCACCAGGGAGAAGGATATTCCCAGAGCAATTCATCACATCCTAGACATTCATCTCCAGCAAAGTAGCCGTGGAAAATTCTCAGTCAGTTTGGACTGTGTACATTCTGGCCCTTTCATATACACAGACTAATTGGTGACATGGCTATGCTTTTTGTCTTCTCAGAATAATCACAATTTGGAATGTTACTACATTTCAGGTGGTGAACTAGTTGGGTTTTGCTTTGTTTTGTTTTGTTTTTTAAGGAAGATTTGCAGTCATTGATTACAGGCAAGTTCTATCACCTCACTGATGATAATTCTGCCCAAAGTCACTAGATGCTCATATTTAAAGAGACCTCAGAGAGTCAATGACACAGTCAGCTCAGTGGCACATGACACTGTAAAGTGGTTTAGGATGTGAATCAGACAGAATAGCTAACATTCTAGAAGCATAATGCACAGGAGGCATAATCTTCTGAGGAAATAAGACCAGAGCCAGGTGTACATGAACCAATCAAAGTGCAGAAGCATCACCCTTCAATTTCTTCATAGACCTACCACCACACAAACCTTAGCTGTACCCTGCCCTTGAAGCTAAGAATGAGAGTAAATCTTAAATAGGAGAATGAAATTTAATTTTTCTGGTGGCCTGTCATGTGAAACAATGAATACTACAACTTTTAAATATCTTACTGTAATTGGCTAATCATATGATAAACAGTGTTTTTCACTGAATTCTCAAAAGTGATCTCAAGGCTTAACCAAATTATGCTGAGATGTGTCCAAAAAAAATTTTTACCCCCATCCACAGTAACTGCTTTTTGAAATGAAGAGCACTGACCAGCAGATGAAACCTCTGCAATTAACCTGAAATAGAAGGCTATCCTAGAATGTAACAGGCAATTAATTCCTTTTAACCCATTCCTATTCCTGGGTCAGGCAAAACAGGGTCTATAACAAAGGGCTTCTTCTTCATGCCTGGCAAAGCTGGGACAAAGCACAGGTATCCTCTGCCACTAAAGGTTTATTCTCCCTGGTCCATGGAGAGGACTCGCACTTTTGTCATTTTCCTTTTGCCTTTTCCCTCCCCTCAGCCACCACTACTCCCTCTACCACCAACCCAAGGCAATGTACTAAGATAACTACATTCTAAGATGACAATGAAGACCTCAAGGGTTCCCAAAGACCGTCTTAATTCCAGGCAGCTTCAGGGTTGTAGTTAAGTGAACCACAGCCTCACAAAAACTGAGAATAGCTACTCAGAAACTTTAGAAACATTACTCCTGATGTGTAAGCCTACAAACCCAGCCATATCCTCTTTTCTAGCATCCACAAATCATATTGATTTGAACATTGAAAAGACAGCATTTCTGTGTCTAAGTAACCATGTGACTTCAGACAAGTCTTTTACTTCTCTGGGTCTCCATTTTTTTTCATCTCT
This sequence comes from Homo sapiens, assembly GCF_000001405.40. Classification (NCBI taxonomy): domain Eukaryota; kingdom Metazoa; phylum Chordata; class Mammalia; order Primates; family Hominidae; genus Homo; species Homo sapiens. Next base: position 177,440,502 of record NC_000001.11, read on the forward strand.
AATGGGAAGATATTGGATTCTTAAACTACATAGATGAGGTTGGACTTCACTTCCTCAAAATACTACACTATGGTTTTAAGACAAGCATATTTTTTCATTTTGTTGATTCATAAATTAATACATTTTCATACAATTTGAGAGCCCAAAGACATTTTATTTTTAGCAAAAACATGTCTATATATCCCAAAGTGTCTCAGCAAGTAAGGATTATATTCCTGGGTGGCAGACCTGGTTAAGTCTAGATTTTGTGTTTCTCTACTCTGAGATAACTGAGATTCTATAATTGCAGTTCTCACCATTTAAAAGTTATGGCAAAAACCACAATTACTTTTGCACTAACCTAATAATATATTTCAAAAAGGAAGCAGTTTGGAAGGATGTGTGGAGGAGGTATTATTGGTTCAGATGTCCTGGAAGCAAGCTTATAGTTGTCAGTGGCCGCTGTGGATCAGCAGGTGACCTATATTTATAATTTATTATTTACTGCTGATGTCCGTCCAACCTGTTGGAAGCAAATGCATGCAGTTCCTATCCCGAGGAGCAGATCAAGGACAGTGATAAGTAATATTGACTTATGTCAGTGTCATCAGTTCTAACTAAAACATAAGCACTGGGTCAATTTAACAAGCACATCGACCAGCACTACACAATATCTGCACAGAGGAACTCAATGCTATTGAGAGAAATTAGAGATTTTTCCTGAAACTTTGCTGAGCTTTACAAGAGACAGTTTATGGGCAAAGGAGAGATTTGCTGAATGTACAAGATATATGCTACATTGAATATAGAGTTTTTTTTTTTCTTACCAGGTAACCAAGGTTGCTTACATAAGTTTGGAAAAATTAGAGCGTTCATTGAGTTAGTATGAAGAATTATGAAAGTAGTTGAACCCAGGAAGACCATAAATACAGCCACTGCTATTCTGAAGTCTAGACTATATCACCACAGTGGTCCCTAGTGTGCTATTTGGCATTCCTTTTAATTTGCCTCCAGTTGTAATAAGATAACCACAGTTTATAATACAGTAAATGTATAATTAAATGCAGATGATATGCTATTCCTGGCAGTACAATTCAAGACTCTGGGTTGACACTATCAAACACCATGACTACTTTGAACACAGGGTTGCTCTAAGAAATGAAATACATAGTAAACTGGGTCACTTTTAAAAGTCCATGCTGTTAAATTTGGTGTTGATTGGGAAATTTGGCCATTTCAGGCACCTTTTATTCACTCACTCATTTAACAAATATTTGTTGGATGACTACTCTGTGTCAGGGACCATGCTAAGCCCTGAGTATATAACAATATATGCCCATATGCATCTTATATTCTACTGGGTAGATGGACAGTAAATAGACATAAATAAACAAAAGGTATATAATAGGATAAATTCGATGCAGGAAACAAGAAAGGAGGTGTTATAACAATAATGGGAGAAAGGCAACGTTTCTGGAAGGTCAATTTTACCATTAGAGTGGGTGAAGTGCACCAGGCCTATGCTGCTGAAACAAATTGGATGGTTAAGGAAATGATCTAAGGAAACTGGTGCAACATCGTTGGCACCCTTGTCTGAACCATCAGGGACCTAATGCAGGTGGACACTAGTCCTGGCTGTCACAAGGCTGGGGGTAAGGCCTGGAATATTGTCAACTTTTATCTCCAAACCTGGTTGGGAGGATGTGGGGTAGATATTATTTTACTAAACTTTTAGACAGAAACAATAGAGAAAAGGGCATCATTTTCCTAGGGCTGTGGATCAAAAACACTTGGATTCAATTCTTGGCTCTCTCAATTATTAACTGTGTGATTTTGGGCAAGCCATCTGCCCCAATTATTTTTTTTATATACAAAGTGGTATAATACCTGTTCTATCTATATCTATCATGGTGCTAATGAGGAGCAAATAAATATGAAATTATAAAGTACTATACAAATGTTAGCTGTGCGATTATTAGAGAAGCTCTAGGAATTTCACATCCTTTCTCATACCATCAAGATGCCAGCCATGGAGATTTTACCTCATTCTTTTCCTTCTGGCTTCCTAAATAAAATGCCAAGAATGAAAACTTTGCCTCCTGGCAAACTATGACCTCTGACATATATTGTGTACAAAATTCAGTCTGCAAGCGAGAGAGGTATCTTAAGTGCTCTGCACATCAGGAGTTGGAAACATGTTTATTAGTCCGTAGTTTGAGGTCTTGGTGGTGACTTCCTTTCGGCGCTCAAGTTACATAAGGAAATTATCAGTAAATAGATAGATTGCCTCATTATGCAAAGTGAAATACAATCTGCCATAGAAAGGAGAATCATGCCGAGAAGCTTGCTGAACAGTCTCTGCCTCCAATTAAGCTCCGATTGCAGAACTGTACTTTAGTTGAAAATTCATTCTCCAGAATGGGTTAGATTTCAGGGGACATGGTGAACATGACAATAATAATGATATTGTGCTACTTTCTACAATTTTTCCCCAGGAGTTCAGAGTACCATCCCCACATTGTCTTGGCTTTTATCCTCTAATCTGGTTGGTAGGATGTGGGGTAGATATTCTTTTACTAAACTTCTAGACAGAACCAATACAGAAAACAATCCTGAAGGTTTTGCCTGGGAAGCAAGTTAAGAATTGAAGCCAGGTTACAAGTGTTTCCTCGCCAGTCTTGTTGGTTGGCATCATTTAAGCACTGACGGGTATTTGGTGTTGTACTAAGAGTTATAAATAACAGAGACACTGCCTCAGTCTCTTAGACAACAAAGATGTTGGTGGGGAAAAAAAAGCACCTGATTAACATTGAACAAATGCACACATTAGCAAAATCCTGAGGCATCGCTAAGTATTACCATTATGCCTTAGCACCTCCTGCTCCTTAAAGAACACCAACAATAGACCAATACTGTATTTTGTGAGATTGAAAGTGAAGGTGAAGACACACCTTTATCTTTCCTTACCACTAAGAGAGAAAACATGTTGCCAATTAAATTTTGATACATTGCTTTCTTAACTTGATTATAAGACATATCTTCATTTTAGAGATGTTAAAATATGTGGGAGGGGAATAATGTGTTTTGAAATCATTTAAATACAGTGTATTGAATGACAGATGTGTTGGTTTTAGCACACCCCCTAAAAGACACACCAGACATAGAGAAATCTCAGGAAAATGTGTAGCCAATCTGATAACAAATTTTGATGGTCTTCTCTATAAGGAAAAACAAAGAATCTTCAGAAAAACAGAGGCTCGAGGAAGGATATAAAAGAAGCCTGCTAAGTCAAGCAGTGTACAGGTAGAGGGCACACGACAGAGGGACTTACTCACTAAATCCTGGAAACTCAGAATTACTGGGAGTTCCTATAAGCTTAGAGGAAGAAATTTCAGAAAACACAAAAGGATGTGTTATTTCACACAGCAGGCAGTCCACATAAGGAACTCATTACTCCAAGAGCTAGCGCAAACTTAAAAAAGATAATTTGGTTCAAAAAGGGTTTTAGATAAATTCATGGATGATAGAACCATAATGGAGTCCATCCTCTATACACTTAAATACTCTCATTAAGTTATCACTTCAGCTTTTTCCTTCTGTGCTAAATAATAGTGCTTCTTCTAGCTTTTCCTAATAGTCCTCATTTTCCAATCCTTCAATTTTATCTGTCCTCCTTTAAATCAGTCATCTGTGCCCCCCTTTTAATGAGCCCCTGAAAATATCATCATGGAAAATTTAGGTGTAATCTAATCCCAAGTCACAGTCAAAGTTTAAAGCTCACTGGGGGCAGAGACATTACCATTTTTATCTTTGAAGCTTCATAGCACCTTACACAGTGCCAGAGATACATTTCTGTTGAATTAATGAGTGAATCAATTAGTAAATATGTGCAACCTCAGCTGTCTTGAACTCTTATTGAGACCTAGGGTGCCTAGGTGTCTCCATGTGATATGCAGGTGTTTTATGTGTGTGATGGCAGGTTTGGGGAATGGGATTGGGCAGGAGGAATGCAAGTTTACATGAGGGATTTAGGTCTGTTGCCAAACCTCCTGAATATCCAAGTTTGGTTATAATCTCGGCTACAACTGATTTTAAGGGACCCTTATGGAATATGAGAGCTCACCCTGAGCCAGCTAACAGTCAGGTGCCTGTTCTTGTCACAGAACTTATGGTAAAAGAACAGATTAGGTAGATGGGTGGGAAGGTTAAGCAGGCAAGCAGAGTCCGTTTTGCTTTTTGTTTGGTTTTGGAAGGAGGGAAGAGGGATCTTTCTTCCCACAGGAAAAAGTTTCTTAAGAAATCTGTTCTTGGCATGATGTTCATGATTCTGCAGCTGCCCATGGGGCTCAGCAGACAGCCCTCTGCAGGTGAAGGAGAAGGAGTTTAATAAAGTTGTCACCACGGCTTCAGTATTTCTAGTTCAGAGAGAACCAGGAGCGGGTTCAAATTTAAATAGCCACAAGGAGATAGTGAGATTGGAATATTAGGAGTTGTCTGAGGTGGCAAGGGGTTAAAACACCCACAGGTAACAGACTTAGAAAATGAGCTTTACTTCCCTTTAGAGTAGAGGGTTTCCTCTTATTTATGGGCATAGAATACTGATGGAAATTCTCTCAATTACAAAGACTCATTTGCCAGAAGGTGGCTTTGGTGACCTGAACTAAAATTGTCCAGTAAGCCGGAACTGTACACCAGCAGCACCTGGGTGTGGCTGGGTAAAAGGCATGTCAGTGACATCATTTAGGACACACAAAAGAACAGTTAGTGCCTCTGTGAATGCAAGGATCATGTCCCTCCTTACTCAGCAGCCTAGATTCCTGCTGATGGAGAAATACTGGAAGAAAAGTAATTATTCATATATATATTTATAAACACATACATATATGTGTATTTATTTATTTATAGCAGTTTTGTAACATACTTTTGAGACAAGTTTTAAAACTTCAATTTGATAGCCAAACCTTCTTTATTAACATTTGACTCTTCCCCAATGACCTGAGTTAGCACTCATCATTGTGTTCTTTATATACTGTGTTTATGGAAATGACACCATGTGAGAATGAAATGCTGTAGGACCGGTAATCTCTGTCTTGTTACATGGGATTTATGGGACCAGCGGGGCAACCCTCATCACTGGCCTTGGGCCTGATGTCAACATTTTATACATTTTCCCTTCTTCCTTGTTAAGGAATTAAGAATTCATTTTGCCTTATATTATCTATTTATTTTCCTTCTGTAACATTTGTTAAATATTTTTTAAAATAGAAGAATACTACTTAAGTGCATCTTTTGTGATCTGGGCATGGGTCTGTGTGTGCACTTGTGTGTGCCTATGTACCTGTATCTCTATGTATGTCTGCATGTCTGTGTGTCTGTGTGGTTGGGACTACTTGGGACCATACAAGGAACAAATCCCATTTCCAGACAACAACAGCCAAAAAAAGAAAAAAGAAAAAAAATCATTTCCTCTAAACACCATCCTATCTAATGTGATCCTGAAGCAGGTTTGCATTCTTCAGGAAGCACAAAGGCAGTGACTACCTCCTGCTGTATACACTGCCCATATTTGGGAATTTCCTAAACGTTCTCATCTAATAAATACCATTTATCTTCACAGACATTTTGCCTTCCCTGTCACTCATAAAACATCCTCGTTGCTACCAGCTTCTGCCTCTCTCAAAGGGCAATGACAGATCACTCAGTGTTCCTGAGCTTCTAGGTAAAGGTTTGTTTTCTGTTAGGGTTGAAGGTGTTTCGGGCTCAGTCTAGTGGGCCAGGACTAGGAATTGTTTAAAACATGCATCTTTATAGAATATCCTTCAAATTTAGTGTAGAGAGAGGCAGAAGAGACAGAGGAATGCGGAGACCTGCCAGGATCTGCCGTCAAACTTCCTGCTTTGACAATCTTTGTAGAAACAAAAACAAACTTCCTGCTGTGGATAAGGTCGTGTTCTACTTTCTCAAAGAGCTTTCATATCTATTAATACATTAATATAAAATGGCATTTTCAGCCCACCGTTTCTGCTTCTGTATATTGTTACCTTCTTGATATAGAAGAAGGAACAGAAATGCAGAAAATTTGAATGGCTGGCCCAGAAGCAATAATGGAGAGCAATGGCAGAGTGTGGATTCAGTCCCAGCCAAACACAGCACTACAAAGTGATGGCTAGGAGGAAGGCATCCAAAGGCTAGCACCCTCGGATGCCACGGGTGCCTTTTGCTGACTTGCGCATTAGTGGGGGGTCTCTAAGCCTCAGTTACTTCATAAGGAAAATCACTAATGAGGGTAGTTTTTACCTCATGGGAGTAGATGAAATAATTGAATGAGATAATGAATGTTGAGCCTTAAGCAGAGTCCTAGGTCCATAGTGGATTTATCATAATAGTTGATGTTTTATGCTCATATTTTATATTTTATTATCAAAAAGGACCTTTGAAAGTTTCACATTGTCCCGGGCACAACATGGTTCATTTTGGTAAAATGTGTAGAATTTGCAGATTACCCAAGAGAAACTGAAAGGTAATTTTTTTCTATGATAAATAAGCTAAGTGTAAGGTTTTTATGAGCTAAAAATTTTTAATAAAAAGGAAACAGAAAAATCACCAAATCAATTGTTACTTAAGGCAATAAAAAATTAAAGAAATATCTTTAATTATATTCATAAGCTTGTAAATTCTAAAGGTTATTGGGGTCTCGCCTTCCTTGTATACCCTTACAAAATTAACTAATCCTGGTTGTGTTCTATATTCCAAACAGTGATAAACCAAGCATTTTTCTTTGCTTTCATGAAATCTTCTGCCACTCTATTGCATGAAACATTTTTACCTTAAAATTTGGTATAACCCACTTCAGGGGAGCCCTAAGGATCTTTCCAGGTAAATAAAGACCAAAATAATCTAGACTTAGATTAGGCAGCAGTTATCTTTTGCTATACAACCAACCACTCAAAACTTAGAGGCTTAAAAACATAACTATTTATTTAATGCATTATTCTGATAGGTAGTTCTTCTGGCTTGGGCTGGGGTGGGTTCAGTTAATCTCAGCTAGGGTTGCCACATTATACTCAAAATGGTGATCTATTAACCTGCCTCAACTCTTATAATGCCCAAGAGACACAAATTAAAATCTAGCTAAATGTTTTTGAATGAGTTAATGAATAAATAAATGAAGTTATTTGCACTTGGTTCTTTTTGAACATTTTGTGGCACAGGACTGTCTTCTAGAGAGTTGCAAAACAATTTATTTTTCCCAGCAACTTCCCAACTCTCCTCATCTTTGAAGTTGATCCAGTACAGTCTGCCCCTTAGTTAAACATATATCCAGACCTGCCTTCCCTGAGTGATATACCAAGTAAATCACATTACTTTTCCCAAATCATCCCTTCCTTCTTCCCTCTGAAAACTCCCATTCTTGCAATGCCCTGAGAAAAAGAGAATCTTCCCCTCTTGATGGGAGAAACTACAAGGTCACATCGCAAGGACATGTATACTGGGAGAGGAAGAAATTGTGGCCATGTTTGTAATCAACCCTGGGCCATAATTGATGGATTCTAAAGTATACCATGCCACCCCTGATCACTAGGTAGCACAGAAATATTGCTACACAAAGGAGAACAGGGCATCTCTTTCTAATACTCATTCTTTCTATTTAAAAAAAAAATGCTCCTGGATGTCAGCAATTCTCAACCTAAAATAGATGCCTCAGCTCTAGTCAAACAGCCTTTAAGCTCTTAAGAATGCATTCATCACAGACTGCAGAAGTGACAGACAGACTCCAAAGAGGAAATCCCAAGACCAAAATATCATCTGTCACTTCCGACAGAGGATGGCATGTGTGGCTAGGAGAGGGAATATAAGCTGGAGAGGATGACCCTGTGGAGAAGGCTGCTTTCGGTCACCATTGACTGCTCTGGGAGGCTAGGGGGAGGAAGGTATGCCAAGGAATCCAGGCCTTGCAAAGACTGAGAAATTGGAGACCTCCATGCTGTGAAAGTCTGATTTAAATGAGCTCAATTTCTTAAAGCAAATAATGGCCTGAGCATGACTGGGGTTGGGATTGGTTCTCTATTTACCTGAATGGAGCTGCAGATGATGCCAGGTTTCCCCTCCCAGAAGCTGAAAGTAGCTGGACCAGTAGCAGATACCTACCCTCCCAGTGAGGTAAAGAAACAGTTAAGTAAAAGTAGCAAGTTACTAAACCCAAATTATCCATACATTTTCGTTTCTGGGAGTCATTCTGACTTGTCACACTTATTATACTCAGTCACAGAGCTTCGTATTTTCAACTTCTGCAGGTTCTATTAGCTCTCCCACTGCTTCCCATCCTGCTGGCCAGGATGCCTTAGTTCATGCCCTTACTGCTATTGCTTGGGCTCTGACTGAGCTTCCTGCCTCCAGGCGAACTCCTCCTATCAATTCTGCCCTCTTTCTAAAATGTCATTCTGGCCGTGTCACTGTGACCCTGTTTTCAGATTTCACAAAGCTTTCAGGATCAAGTTCAGAAGTTTTGGCTATACCATCCCTTATTGCTCTGTTATCCCCACCTCTGCACACACCTCTCCTCCTGCCTACCCCCACCACCCATCACACACCTTCAAAGCAGTCATTTGAAACTACTTGTTCCTTAAAATATGACAGGCACTTTAGGCTTCCAAGTCTTTGCACATATTGTTCCCTCTTCCAGGAAAATGCTCTCTCCACCCCCACATCATCTAAGACTTACTCATCCTTCTAAATTCAGCTCAAGCATCACCTCTTCCAAGAAACCTTTCTCGAGCTTCCTAATCCAATATAGATGCTCCTCCTCTGTGCTCCTCTAGTAGTCTTGCTACCTCAATCACAGCTTTGCCACATTATGCTGAAATGGGTGATCTATTAGGCTGTCTCTGCTACCACTTTGTGAGACTGTTTTATTCAACCCTCCCAGTGTTGAGCATGAAGCGAAAGCTGGTTAAATGTTTTTTGAATGAATGGATGGATAGATGAATGAATGAGTGAAGTTACCTGCATTTGGCACTTTTTGGACACCATGTGGCCCAGAGCTTTCTCTTGGAATGCTACAAGGTGATTAATTTATTGTCACCAGCGATTTTCTACCTTCCCTGTCTGTTGGTTTATCCCAGTATCTCCCAGTTAGACACATGGCCAGATCTGCCTTTGACAAGTAAATCATGTAACTTCTCCCAAATCATCCCTCCCTTTTTTCCCTTTAAAACTCCTGTCCTGAAAGAAAGAGATAAAATTAGCAGATATATTTATAATGAAGTAAAGACAGCTGAAAAGAGTAATCCCTTACAATTATATAGTAGCTTTAAACTCTCACCTTCATTACTTTAATCTTTCTAACAATCACCATAGGTGGGCCACATAGGTATTCTCATTTCATTTTATACCCAAGAAAACTCCAGCTCACAGATGTTTTGCAACTTTGCCAGGATCATAAAAATAAGTATTAATACTTCAGATACCTTTTTATTTTTTCCATTTTATTTTTCTTTTTTTTTTTTTTTTTTTTGAGACGGAGTCTCGCTCTGTCGCCCAGGCTGGAGTGCAGTGGCGCGATCTCGGCTCACTGCAAGCTCCGCCTCCCGGGTTCACGCCATTCTCCTGCCTCAGCCTCCCGCGTAGCTGGGACTACAGGCGCCCGCCACCATGCCCGGCTAATTTTTTTGTGTTTTTTAGTAGAGACGGGGTTTCACTGTGTTAGCCTGGATGGTCTCGATCTCCTGACCTCGTGATCCGCCCGCCTCGGCCTCCCAAAGTGCTGGGATTACAGGCGTGAGCCACCGTGCCCGGCCTCCATTTTATTTTTCAAAAGATTGTGCTTGGATGGATAAGAAAAACCTTCAACCTAAAAGAAAAGCATTACTAATCATGAAGATAGATCATAGGCAAAAGGACCTCTCTAGACCCACCAAATAACAATGCCATGTACACCTATGGCTGACCAGGGTAAGATGGAAATACAGTCTAGGTTCTGTGATTCCATATTTAGTGAGTTATTCTATAAGCAATGTTCATGGAATAAGACATGTTGGAAATTCTTTGTCAAACCACATTATATGTTGACCAGGATCTTGACTGATGCCCTGAGGTCCATGACCTGCTCATCAAAAACAGCTTCTCTTCACAAGATTTCCCACTGAGCCTGCATCTAAGTCCGTGATACAGTGGCCTGTCCTACAGATATTCTGGGAGGCTGCCTTGACTTTCAGGGCAAGAATATGTGCAGCAAGAACCAGGGGCTCTATTGTAAAGGAGAAAAGAAACAGGACAAGATAGCTAAAAACTCAAAGAAAAAGAGTTTCAGACTAGCCATTTTCCCTGCCCCAAAGATAAATGGTTATATAGGTTATCTTCCACATCTACCAAAAGACTGTAAACTCCTTGAGGGAAAAAATGTGATGGATCCCTTTCTTAGCCAGCCTGTACCACATTGCTCCCACTATGCCCTACCACCGCTGCCAGCATCTGTGGCTGCACTCAGTGTTTATAATCATTTACTTATTCATTGCCTCCCTCCCCGCATCCCATTTCATTCTGAAAAGGAATTTAGGCCATTCATATGAATGATTTTTCTAAAAGCTGAGGTGGGATTATCTTTTCATTCTGGGATCTGGTAAGTGAGTAGCACATCCCTGAAGAAGGTCGTGGTTACTTCTAATCGGTTTTGTGTGTTTTTTTTGTTCATGTGTTTGTTTGCTTATAATTTCCCTAGACCCTGTGGTAGATTAGGTTCTCAGGAAAGCAAACTTTGAGACTGAGTTCAGTGTACAGAATGTTTATTAGGAAGTGCCCTTGGCAGTTCTTCCAAAAGCTAAACTTAAAGTGACTTTATGATCCAGACATTCCACTCTTAGGTCAAAGTCCTAATAGCACCAGTTTAAAGGAGGGAAGCACACATGACTGGGTAGAGGAAGAAATTGAGCTATGCTGGTGGCCTGGCAACAGCCTCAGCCTACACTACAGGGCGCTGTGCAGCTAAAAGTGACACATGAGAGTTTTCTCACATTGGGATGAAATGGCTGAGCCTTTAGATTATTTCTTCTATCAATTGCTGCAGGTAGACTGACTCAGAAACGGCACTACCTTGACCAAGGTGTCTTTGTGCAGCTCAGGCAACCCTGAAGAGACTGACAGATCAAGGCTATTCTGCTCGCAGTACTCACCACGCTTAGCGGATCAAGTCACTCCTCAAAGGAAAGCTGAAGGGCACATAACGATGTCTAGTATAGTCCCCCAGCCTTGTATCGCTTGGGTCAGCTTTCACATAGGCCTTTGTGGCACAGCTTCTCCGGGATTTCAGTAGGCCTCTCTTCCTGTGAGAAGCTTAGAAGGGAAGTTTGGTGGCAGGTCCCGGACTAGGGTGAAGCACATGGAACAACTATGGCACAAAATTTAAGGAGGTGCTTGCATGAGAATAAATGCCTCCTTAAATTCTGCACCGTGGGTGCCTCACTCTTTTACATTTTGGACAGCTTTACTGACTTATTTACATACTGTAAAATCCAGCCTTTAAATGTGTATGGCCCAGTGGTTTTCAGTTTTGTGTGTTTCATTTTTAGTTTTGGTGTGGACATTATGTTTTTATTTTTCTTTGACCTAAGAGTGGAATGTCTGGATTGTAAAGTCACTCTAAATTTAACTTTTTGAAGAACGACCATTTTACATTCCCCAAAACAATGTACAAGTGATTTGATTTTTCCATGTCCCTGTCAACCTCCTTATTGTCTTTTTATTATAATAATTATTATAGCCATCCTACAGGGTATAAAGTGGTATCTATTCATGATTTTGATTCGGTATTTTCCTAATGACTAATTGATGTCAAGCATCATTTCATGTGCTTACTGGCCACTTGTTTGTCTTTGGAGAAATTTCAGTTCAAATCCTTTTTTCATTGTTTAATCGTGTTGTCTTTTTATTGTTGAATTGCAAACGTTCTTTATATATTCTGGGCACTACATCCTTATCAGATATATGATTTGCAAATATTTTCTCCCATTCTACGAGTTGCCTTTTCACTTTCTTTATGGTGTTCTTTGAAGCACAAAAATTTATTTTGATGAAATCTATCTATTTTTTTCTTTTGTAGCTTTTGTTTTGGTGTTATATTTAAGGAACCATTGTCCAATCCATGATCATAATGATTTACACCTATGTTTTGTTCTAAGAGTTTTAGAGTTTTAGCTCTTGCATTTAGATATCTCCTTGATTTTGAGATAACTTTTGTATCAGAGTAATGCCAGCTCCACAGAATGAGTTGATTGGTGTTCCCTCCTCTTCTATTTGTGTTTTGAAAGAGTTCGTGAAGGTTTGGTATTAATTCTTCTTTTACACATTTGTTAGAATTCACTAGTAAAGCCATGTGAGTCTGAGCTTTTATTGTGGGCATTTTGTTTAAAACAAATTCAATCTGTTTACTGGTTTTAGGTCTATTGATATTTTCTATTTCTTGAGTTAGTTTCAGTAGTGTGTATCTTTCTAGGAATTTATCCATTTCATCTAGGTTATTTAATTCGGTTGTGTACAATTGTTCATACTATCCTTTTTAGTTCTGTGAAGTTGGTAGTGATATCCTCTGTATCATTCTTGATTTTAGTAATTCAAGTCTTCTCCCTTTTGCACTTGGTCATTCTAGATAAAGATTTGTTAGTGTTGTTAATCTTTTACAAAAAATCAACTTTCTTTGTTTTAACTTTTATTTTAGGTTCAGGGGTACATGTGCAGGTTTATATACGTAAACTGCATATCATGGGGGTTTAGCGTAGAGATAATTTTATCACCCAGGTAATAAGCATAGTACCCAATAGGCATTCTTCCTGATCATCTTCCTCCTTCCACACTCCACCCTAAAGTAGGCCCAGTGTCTGTTGTTTCTCTCCTAGTATCCATGTGTTCTCATTGTTTAGCTTCCACCATTAAGTGACAACATGTGGTATTTGTTTTTCTGTTCCTGCATCAGTTTGCTTAGGATAATGGCCTCTAGCTCTATCTATGTTGCTGCAAAGGACGTGATCTCATTCTTTTTTATGTCTGCATAGTATTCCATGGTGTATATGTACCACATTTTCTTGATCCAGTCTATGCCTGATGGACATTTAGGTTGATTCCATGTCTTTGCTGTTGTGAATAGTACTGCAATAAACATACACATGTATCTGTCTTTATGGTAGAACAATTTATAGTTCTTTGAGTATATGCCCAGTAATAGGATTGCTGGGTTGAATAGTAATTCTGTTCTTTGAGGAATTGCCACACTGCTTTCTGCAATGCCTGAACTAATTTACACTCCCACCAGCAGTATATAAGCTTCCATTTTCTTCACAACCTTGCCAGCATCTGTTATTTTTTACTTTTTAATATAGCCATTCTGACTGCTGTGAGATGGTATCTCACTGTGGTTTGGATTTGCATTTCTCTATTGATTAGTGATGTTGAGCATTATTTCATATGCTTGTTGGCCACATATATGTCTTCTTTTGAAAAGTGTCTGTTCTTGTCCTCTGCCCAGTTTATAATGAGATTGTTTTTTTCTCGTAAATGTGCTTAAGTTCCTTATAGATCTGGATATTAGACCTCTGTTGGATGCACAGTTTGTGACTATTTTCTCCCATTCTGTAGATTGTCTGATTACTCTGTTGATACATTCTTTTGCTATGCAGAAGCTCTTTAGTTTAATTATGTCCCATTTGTCAATTTTTGTTTGTGTTGCAATTGCTTTTGGCGTCTTCATCGTGAAATCTTTGCCAAGTCCTATGTCCAAAATAATATTTCCTAGGTTATCTCCCAGGCTTTTCATAGATTTATGTTTTACGTTTAAGTCATTAATCCACCTTGAGTTGATTTTTTTATGTAGTGTAAGGAAGGATTTGAGTTTCAGTCTTCTGCATCTGGCCACCCAGCTATCCCAGCACCATTTATTGAGTGGCGAATCCTTTCCCCACTGCTTCTTTTTGTCAGCTTTGTAAAAGGTCAGATTGTTGTAGGTGTGCGGCCTTATTTCTGGGTTCTCTTTTCTGTTCCATTGGTCTATGTGTCTGTTTTTGTATCAGTACCATGCTGTTTTTGTTACTGTAGACCTGTTGTATAGTTTGAAGTCGGTAATGTAGTGCTTCCTGCTTTGTTCTTTTTGCTTAGGCTTGCTTTGGCTATTCAGGCTGTTTTTCAGTTCCATATGAATTTTAATATAGTTTTTTCTATTTGTATGAAGAATATTATTGGTAGTTTGATAGGAATAGCCTTGAATCTATAAATTGTTTTTGGGAATATGGCTATTTTAACTATATTGATTCTTTCTATCCATGAGCATGGAAGGAGTTTCCATTTGTATGTGTCATCTCTGATTTTTTGGAGCAGTGTTTTATAATTCTCATTGCAGAGATCTTTCACCTCCCTTGTTAGCTATATTCCTAGATATTTTATTCTTCTTGTGGCAGTTGTGACTGGATTGCAATCCTGATTTGGCTCTCCAGCTTTCTATTTTATTGATTTTTCTGTATTGATTTTCTATTCTCTATTTTATTTATTTCTACTCTTGTCTTTTTTATTTCATTTCCTTTCTTCTGTGTGCTTTGGGTTTAGTCTGCTCTTCTTTTCTAAGTTTTTAAGGTGGGAAGTTAGGTTACTGGATTTGAGGTCTTTCTTTTTTTTTTAAGAAAAAAATGGGCATTTACACTATAAATTTCCCTCTAATTCCTGTTTTAGCTGTATGTCATAAGTTTCAGTATGTTGTGTTCCTGTCTTTATTTATCTCAAAGTATTTTTTAATTTCCTTAGCTTGACTCATTGGTTGTTTGAGAGTGTGTTTAATTTATGTATATTTTTTAATATCCCCAAATTTCTTCTGTTACTGATTCTAATTTTATTATAGTTGGAGAACATAATTTATTGGATTTCCATATTTTTTAATTTATTGAAGCTTGTTTTATGGCCTAACATATGATATATTCTGAAGAATGTTTGGTGGGTACTTTAGAGGACTGCGTATTATACTGTTGTTAAGTGAAGTATTCCACAGATGTCAGATCTTGTTGGAATACTACCTTGTTCATGTCTTCTGTTTCTTTGTTAACCTTGTGCCTAATTGTTCTATTATTTAAAATGAGGTATTAAAGTCTCAAACTATTATTGTCGAATTATCTGTTTCTCCTTTCAATCCTATCAGTTGTTATGTCATGTATTTTGGAACTCTGTTGTTCGGTTCATATATGCTTAAAACTTTTGTTATGCTCCTATATGTTATAAATGTTTTGTTTTTCTGATGGATTGCAGATGCTTCATTCTTAAGGAAGTATTCATCCTCAGGATCATACAGGTGCAGGGTCAGCATTTGCATGACCTCGAATGTCTCCCTAAATTTTGCACCTTGTCCCGTCATTCTAGTCCTGGCCCCAGTTATTGGGATAAACTGGAGTTGATCTCAGAGCCACAACTAATACTAATCATCTTCCTATTACACTATCATTCTAGATTCCCTCATCCTCATCTAGTTCCTCTGCTGTTCCCAGTGGCTTACCTTGATGGGTGTGAAATGGATTTTCATTTTATATGGTGGTGTGACCTTACCTGATGGTGTGAAATGGAACTCATGAGTGGTCTGAGTTCCTGGTCAAATGCCTTTATTAGGCTGAGTTTTCTGCACTCATCCACTTGCTATTAAAAATAAGCAACAGAGAACCAAAAGGTACCCAAGTAGATCAGCTGGATGTCAAATAGACTCCTTAGGTAATAGCAATCACATTTCCTCTTGGATCAGGATCAGTTTCCCCTGCCTAGATTATGCTTTTTCATGCCTATTGGTAGTTGGACACAAATAACTCTAAATTCCCAGGTAGTGACTATAATTTTCACTTCAATGGGATGCTTGCTTTATAATGTGTTTTCCATTTGGGGACAAAAATCTTTAAATCTGTGGATGCCAGAAACACAAATTCCTCAAGTAGATCAATTAAAAATGTTGGTAACTGGAGCACTTCTGCTTTCACCCGATTTACAGACTCAGGTAGTCTCACTAATAGGAACAGAACACCATATGAAAGTCTAATTACTGCAAAATTGGTCTGCCGCTCTTATATGATGTTATATAGTGTCATACGCTAAGCCCTCGGACAGTGGTATTGCCTGAGGAAGAAAAGGAAAGCCTATTGTAAGAACATATGTCTATTCTTTTCTGGATAAATGATGCCCCTTTCCAGGATAAAATGGGACCAATATATTTAGCTTGCCACCAAGTATCCACTTGTCTCCTTAAGAGTTGGTGCCATGTTATAAGCTAAGCATTGGTCTTCTTTGTGGACAGTTTGGGTATTCAGTGGTGGCAGTAGCTAGATCAGCCTTGAAAAGTAGGAGCCCATACATAATATTTTGGGTGCTTTGTAGGTTTCATCTGTACCATCATGAGCAAAACTTCATTGTGTGACATTAGATCAGCACTGGGATGACCAACGGAAGAGGCTAATTGAAATCAATTGGCCAAGTTACTTTGTCTACTTGGTAATTTAGAGTTTCATTCAAGATGGGTATTCTCTGATGAGTATTAACATGTGGTACAAAAATTTTCACATTTTCTCTCCACTTCCGTATATTTACTAACATGCCTCAAACCCCATAGTTTCTTGCTCTCAATCTCCAAATCTTTTTTTCTTCAGACTCCTAATAAGTCATCCGGGTTATTCTCCACTGCCCATGAGTCTATGTAAATTATAACCTTGGGCCATTTTTTTTCCTCAACGCAAAGTGTATGACTCTGCTTAGCCTGAAGCTCTGCCTATTGGAAGATTGTTTGCCACAATCTATCTTTCAAGTCCACCCCTGAGTGCCCATGTAGTGCACCTATCATCCATTTTCAGCACACACCCACATAAAGAGCTAACTCATCCTTAAACAAAGCTCTGTTAATTTTCTCCTTTCATTAGCCAGTTGTAAGGCAATCCCACAGGTCATTGGTATGAACTGAGAGGGGAGCGCTGCTACACAGTGATGGATGACATGGGATCTGGGCCACCTGTTTGTCCTGCTTGCCTATGCCCTCTTGTCCTTTTTGTACTTGATCCCAGACGTACAAGGCACAACTACGTTTTACAATGAATTGTTTCTTGGCCTGCTCAACCATGCAATTTGGTAGGCCTGACCAAATCTAGATCCTGATGAGACGTTCCAGATGCATAACCACTTGATGCTCCATGATCTCTGTCTTTACTCTGTCTCTCCTAGGGCCTAGTAGCATTCCAAGTGCTGTTTTTCAAAGGGTATAATTCTTCACTGTAGATAGCATGACCCTGCTCCAGAACTCCAAGACACCATGTGATTTCCTATTGGAGTTTGCCATAAACTCCACATGGCATCTTTTCCCACCAATTATATCTCTAACACTATAAGGTGTGCTATCTTATATGACCCCAGTGGCAGACTGCTTGTTCCATAGCGTAGACATGCTGAAGAACCTTTTTCTATTCTAGCCCCATTCAAAGCTAGCAGCCTTTTGTATCGTGTAATATATGAGAAGTGTGAATTATACTGATTCCAAGGTCTGAAAGGCTTATTGTTTTCTTCGTGACAGGAGGAACGAGATGCATAATTTGCATTTATTTGAAGAGGATGTTGTAAAATGCCCCTGATCACTGGACTTCAGATTTTACTGATGTTGTGGGCCCCTGAATCTTCATAGTTTATCTTCTACCTTCTTCAGAGTCTGTATGCTAAGACTTCAAACATGCTAGTCACTTCTCATTTGCCCAACATGATTAGCATAACGTCTTTGATTTAGTGTATCAATGTGATATTCTTTGGGATATCCACATGACCTGAATCTCTTTAGACTGTATTATGACAGAAGATAGTAGGATTAGCACTGAGTGGGTTTGGGGATGTGGAGGGTGTAAATGTATATACTGTTGTCTGGTCCATGGAAATGCAAACTGTTTCTGATCCTCTTTTCTAACCAGAATAAGGAACCACACATTTGCCAAGTCAATGGGTACATTCCATGTACCTGAGGCCATGTTAACTTTTTTGACAAGAGATTCCTCGTCTGGCATGGCAGATGCAATACAGATTACAACTTGTTTAAGTTTGTGATGGGATCAGTCTGGTTTTTCTACAGGGACCAGACTGGTGATTTAAATGAAGATAGGAGGGGGACTACCACTCCTGATTTCTTTAGATCCTTAATGGTAGCACTAACTTCTCTTCTCCCATGGAATGCAGTATTGTTTTTTATTTAATATCTTGTCTAGGGGTAGGGAAGTTCAGGCACTTGCATTTGACCATTGCCTACTATGATAGATAGCTTTTACCTCACAGGCCAAGGACCAAAATATGGAGGTTCCACAATTATCAGATATTTCTAGCTTATTTATACTTTTGGGTACTGGGGAAATTACCGCAGGTAATCGCAAACCAAATGAACCCATGAGCTGCATTTTTTCACAGTTTACGTTTAACCTAAGCCCTATATAATATTATCTTAACAAACCAGAAAAACATTTCATGTCTCCAAGTATCAATATTAACTCTAAGACTGTGTCCAACAGTCTTGAAATATTTAGGTATTCTGTTTTACAATGTCCCTGAGTAAATTGCTATAAATCCCTTTGTGTGAGGACTGGAGAGATCATGACTGTGGATTTTTGCCATGGTGTTAACAGTCTTTCCTCCCACAGGCCCAGTCTCCTCTTCAATCAATGGCTTCAGAATCTGAAAACTGTCTCAGGACAAGAAAGTTGGCAAAGAAACATAATTTTTATTAGGGTGACTGCCTGAGCCTCCTGATGATCCATTTTGATTTCTTCTCATGATACAGGTTGAACCCTTGTTAGATGCACATTTATTTAGCCCTGAGGGATGCCACAGTCTGTTAACAATTCATAACTCTCTGCAGATCATATCTTCCTGGCTACCATTCCAACCTTGCTGCTTTTTATAAAAATCACATCCACCTGACCGTTAAGTGCTGTCACCTAGGTTCAATTGTTTTGGTGATCCAATCACCCCATTGCTATCAATCAGTGAGCTTTGTTCTGTAATGGTTTCTCCTACCATTATCAGTGGTCTATAAACAAGAGCCATTGCTAAACTTCTTGATGTTAGTGATCCTCTCATCAGAGCTTTCCTAATGGCCTTGGTAAATTGTATACCTGCTGGGTCTTCCCATAGAACACAATATCAGGTGGGGTTTTGGGCTTTAGATATTATATCCCCTTTGGCATACCTACTTTCTTAACTTTTTTTATTAATTTCCTCCATCTTCTTCCATAAAAACTATGACATTTTATCCTTACTAGGTGTGGGCTATTGCATTTTTATGTTCCCAGAGCTATCTTTGTAACCAGTTTGCCATATCTCTAGGGTCCTTGCCACAGTATTAAATCCTGTAACTCAAAAGAATACTCCTAATTCAATAAAATTTCTCTTAACCAACTCATATGGTTTGGCCATGTCCCCATCCAAACCTCATCTTGAATTGTAACTCTCACAGTTCCCATGTGTCATGGGAGGAACCCAGTGGGAGGTGATTGAATTATGGGAGCAGGTCTTTCCTGCACTGTTCTCCTAATAGTGAATGAGTCTCTCGAGATCTAATGGTTTTAAAAAGAGGAGTTCCCCTACACACACTCTCTTTGCCTGCTGCCATCCACGTAAGATGTGACTTGCTCCTTGTTGCCTTCTGCCATGATTGTGAGGCTTCCCCAGCCATGTGGAACTGTAAGTCTAATTAAACCTCTTTCTTTTGTAAATTCCCCAATCTTGGGTATATCTTTATCAGCAGCATGAAAATGGACTAATACACCAACCATATTTTTAGTGCCCTTGATCAAGTGACCTCAGAATCCAGTCCTACACCTACTCCCCCATCTCCTGTCAGTATATGCTGTCTAAACCCCACAGCTCCACTCAGACAAAGTCTTTTTCCTTTCTTTCCAGGCCCAGCACACGTCTGGCTGCTAGACGTAAGTAAGTCTAATGACCAGGAGAGAAGATAGGGCAGATATTGAGAGGAACACATGTTATTTCTCAGAGGAGAGATCTCTGCATTTTTTTCAAATAATAAAGGGGGTATGCTAGCTCTTAATAGGGATAGGGGGCACTTCTATAGGCTCAAAAGGTTCAGAGGCACCTGGAAAGTCAAGATTGTTGGAGGCATCAGCCTAGATGCTCCTCTCCTATGTGTCAGTGTTCTCTTCTTTTCTAACCAGAGTCCTCACCTTAGCATAGCAGACCTGCCTTGGTTGAGAATTTACCTGTTTTTGGAGCTCAGTTACTTCACTGAATAAGTCCTGGTTTAGCTCTGTAGCTTTCTCAAACCTCCCACTGCATGAGATGAGAGCCCCTTTGTGCTTTGCCAAAACAGTCTTCTGGGTTTCACACTTGGTTTTGCAATTGCTTGATAATCTTTCTCTTTCCCTGTTCTTTCTTGTTGTTCAGAAGTCAGCAAACTTTTTCCTTATAGGCTCATAAAGACCATAGTAATCATTTTAGGCTTTGAGGCCATAAACTCTCTATCACAACTATTCACCTTGCCTTTGTAGTGCAAAATAGCTATGAATAATATGTAAATGAATGGAAATGGCTTTGTTCCAATCAAACTTTATTTATAAAAACAAGCAGTGGGCAGAATTTGGTTCATAGGCCAAGGTTTCCTGACATTCAGTCTAGTGCATCGATTGAGCTTAGCAATTGCTGCTCAATTCCATTGTTCTTCTAGTTACAATTTCTCCCATATTTCTCAAACACTTGGTGCACAACATTATCAGCTAGTACATTCCCTTCCACTGTATACCATTCAACCCTGGTGAAAGTTTTAATAACTGAACTTCTGCCTTGTGCCAGGGACTGTCTGTGCTCTGCTGGTGATGGGATCCTCATTGCCAGATGGGTAGTAAGTAAGTCACCTAGCTCCAAAATTCCATCTTAACACCTGCTTTCTTGGACTACTCATGGTACCAACTGTTGAGTTCTCCAGGAAGCAGACTGAGATGGAGGTTAGTGTGGAGGATGCTCATCAGGGAAGTCACTGTGGGTAGTGAGAGGAATTGAGTTGCAATACAAACCCAAACAATAGTGTCAGCCAATCCCACAGGAAGCTCTGGGGCTCTAATGCCCCAACAAACTGGTCCTGCATTGGGTTGAAATGACTGGGTTTTTTCTTCCCATCTCTGCCAGTCAGTAGATTCGGGTCACCTCAGGCAGGTACTTTCATAGCTGATGCAATCCCTAAGTGGCCTGAGGGCTGAAGGCTGTCTGCAGCTAGCCCTCCATATAGCTGCAGCAACTAGTTCTTTGAAGGGGTACTAGGTAGTGCAGCTCTAAGGCCATCCCAGCCCTCTAAGCTTAGCCTTCTTACCCCATCCTGCTTCACCCATCTGTGTTGATTCTGTACCACCCACACTGGCTTGGCTTCTGCCTCTTTACCAATTCTAGCCGCAGTACATTTCACTACACCTTTCACAAGGCCCACCACCCTATGCTCCTTTCTTCCTTTGCTGATTGGTGCTCAGGTATTTTGTTGGGCTCTCACCACTGACTTTCTGCTTCTCTCAGAATCAAAGCCTTCCTGAATGCTGGGTTGCAATGCTGCCATGACCACACTCTCACCAGTGTTGTCTCTGCTGCCCTGCTGCTCCTTTTGTGTTTCTTAGCATGGTGGGTGAGTAAACCTATGGAAGGCTTTTAACAATATTTATGTCTGCCTTCAAAAAGCAAATAATTACAGCCTTATTGGGGATGGGAATGAAAACCAACAGATAAATAAATTCAACGCTTCGTATGAATGTTCAGACAGTTGACAAAATGGTCTCCTGTTGGGTGGGACCAACAGAGCCATCCAGAAATAAGTAGGCTGCACTCAGTCCAGGCTAATTTGTCCGGTGGCCTGGGGCAAGTCTTCCTGCTCCATTCTTCCCCTTCTGTCAATCCATCTGTATCTTGAGGAACAAAGCTTTTCACCTCCATTTCTGTCCCCCAGTGGATGGGGGGATTGATGACCATTAAAAATGTGAGTTCTTTTGAAAAAGGTGGTGAATAAGTAATATTATTTTGAAGAAATGGAAAATATTGTGGAGGAAGAAGGAAGAGATATTCAGAACAAAACTATAGAAGATGGGTTAGGTTTTACAGATGGAGAAAGGAAAACAAAGTAAAGTGAAAAAGGAAGTAGAGGTAGGAGAGTGTATGAAACCTAATGTCCATTTGAGAAGGACATTTAGAAAAGGAGGAAGAAGAGGAAGAGAGGGAAGCAGATAAGAAAGAGGAGGAAGACAGGGAGGAAAAAGAGGAAGATGAGAGAGAAGAAGAGGAAGAGAAAAACGAATCAGGGAAAACCGGTATGAGCTCCAAACTTCCCACAGAGTAGCATATTTCTTTAGCAAACCATATTACATCCAGACTGAGCCCCAAACTCATTGTGGAAATGAAACTGGAAATTGGATTAGTCTGTTTTCACGCTGCTAATAAAGACATACCCAAGAGTGGGCAATTTACAAAACAAAGAAGTTTAATTGAGCTTACAGTTCCATGTGGCTGGGGAAGCCTCACAATCATGGCTAAGGCAAGGAGGAGCAAGTCCTGTCTTACATGGATGGCAGTAGGCAAAGAGAGAATGAGGAGGACACAAAAGCGGAAACCCCTGATCCAACCATCAGATCTCGTGAGACTTATTCACTACCATGAGAACGGTATGGAGGAAAATGCCCCATGACTCAATTATCTCCCACTAGGTCTCTCCCACAACATGTGGGAATTATGGGACTACAATTCAAGATGAGAGCCAAACATATATCACAGAGCCAAACTATATCAGCAACCTAGTAAGTGGACAGGGAGACGAGGACACCAAGATCTTAGACAGAATTTCTTCAACTACAACTACAACCTTTCCTTGCCCCTTGTTTATTTGTTCAGTATAACTGGTTGGCTGAGATGTAATTCTCCCTAGAGTCCAAAAGGATAACCTGAAATAGCCTCCTAAAAAAATCAGAAAAAAAGTCCAGCTTCTAACAAAGAATAGAACCCCACCACTCCCAAGCCAGGAGATTACACAGGCAGATCCAGGTCAGGCTCTCTGGTCTCCCCTCCCACTCACTCCACCATCAGAACTTATGTTGGGAAACTCAACCATTATCAGAAGTCTTTTTTAAGGTCAGGAGAGAGTTGCACATTACCTTTGTCTGCAGATTTAATACTCTAGGAATGCCATAAGAAATTTAAGATAACTGGAATTATTTTTTAAATATAGCTTTATTGTGCTCCACTCCCCTGCCAGCAGTAAAGTGGACTCCTTAAATAGTCCTTGTAAAAACAGATTATAAAAGCAAAGATCCAAGAGAAGCAAACATTTAAGCACCCACCTGCAGTACATACCAGTCGCCAAGGACCTCTGAATGCACACTCTAGAAACAAGCACAGATTTTTATATTCTCTTTGCCTCAATTACACAGGTATCATACTCCCAGTCAATCACCTTCACCTTTGGCAGTAATTATTCCCCATCTCAGCATTTACCCTCTTCTTCCCTTTCTTCTTGTATAATAGTTTTAGCCCTCCAGGGTGTAATCATTTATTTGATCCAGAGGACAGAATCAAATTTGGTTTTATATAGAATCTCTCATATCTTGCTTAGGGGCTTGAAAAGGCAATGCCGACACACAATGGTAAATAGGAAAAAGGTCCTAACACCCCACTTCTCTGTGTTTACTTAGGCAGAGAAGCCTACCCTCGTCTATTGTTACCCAGATGTTGGGATCTGAGCATGCCACTATAAGATACATATCAACCCCTGAATGATCCTCAAATCAAGGAAGTGGACTTTTCTTTCCTGACATTGACTAGAAAGCAGCCAGTTTTGTTGGCTGTGGTCTCACTTCATTTACAAGGTCTCTAAAATTCGTGAGTATGTATGAGGAACTGGGGTGGGTGGAAAGGAGGGTCTTAAAAGCTCTCTGACAAGGAAAGAAATGATGAGAATGAGATAGTTCTATTTATTAAATGCATGATATGTGCCAGGCATTTTTCCATGAATTATCTCTGGCCAAGGTATGAGATTCAAGCCAAATCTTAGTTCCATCTCTTACTAGTTGTGTGATCTTTGACAAATTAGCTAGCCTCTTCACACCTCAGTTTTCTCATCTGTTAGGCAGGAGTAATAAAACCTACTTCACAGAATAATTGAGGAGGATTAAATAGGTAGCACTTTGACTAGTAAATGGGAAATGTTTACTATATGGCAACTATTATTATTATCACCCTCAAACCAACTCTGCTATCTATGCATTTTTAAAATGAGGAAATCGAGGCTCTAGAAAGTTTAAATAGCCTGTTCAAGGACATACAGCAATAAAGAGCAGACCTGGGATTTAAGCCCAACTCTGCATGATTCTTTTCACTGTGGAATGACACTTCAGAGCACCCAAGATAGTATCCATGGCAACTGCAGAGTGACTCTGGGGATAGTTTTTTCCAAAAAACAACAATATGCCAGTTCAACTGCCAGTGTGAGCACCTCTATCCCTTATTCCTGCCTATTCAGGACTTGGCTTAGCTCACCGCACAACCTCCAGAGGCTTTACTGTGGTCCAGTAAGAAAAAAAAAACAGTAAAAAATGAATAATAGGTACATTTCCATCGTAAAATAGATGAACGTTAGACATTAAACATTAGAGGGAGACCCATGAAATGTATGCCCAATTATCACCCAACACCTGACCACTTTGCCTTTCTAAGCCTCCTTTTTATTAATCCATTCAACTAATGTTTATTGAGCCCTTGTCACAAGTCAAGCACTATTCTAATGCTGAAAAAATAGCAATAAACAAGAGGGACAAGATTCTGGCCCCAAAACTAACAGGTATTATTATAAAGACACTGAAATTGAATATAAAGACAGGAAGGAAACAGAGATTATGTTGCCAATGTTGTACCACCTAAGAATGACTTCAACACAAATAATACATAATTATAATAATTGAAGAAATGTGTAATTGAAGTAATTACATGAGTTAAATGAGAAAGAAAGAAGGGTCAGAGATTTTAATAGCAGCATGATGGATGGATTTAGTTAATTAGATAAAGCATCTTCTTTACACTAATGCCTCCTAACATGGGCTTGTCAGTCATGGAACTTGCCACATTCACCATCCCTTCTGTATTACTCCATTCTCACACTGCTAATAAAGACATACCCGAGTTTGAGTAACTTATAGAGGAAAGAGGTTTAATTGACTCACAGTTCCACAGGGCTGGGGAGGCCTCAGGAAACTTACAATCATGGCAGAAGGGGAAACAAACATGTCCTTCTTCACATGATAGCAGAAAGGAGAAGTGCAGAGCAAAAAGTGAAAAAGCCCCTTATAAAGCCATCAGCTCTCGTGAGAACTCATTCATTATCATGAGAACAGCAGCATGGGGGTAGCCGCCCCCATGATTCAATTACCTCCCGCTGGGTCCCTCCCATGACATGTGGGGATTATGGGAATTGCAATTCAAGATGAGATTTGGGTGGGGACACAGCCAAACCAAATAACCACCTAAGGAAAACTGTCTGCCCACAGCCTTCTCCTGAGGGAAATAGCCCTTGGCTGTTTCATAAAAAAGGGTTGGCCACTGATTGATTGGACAACAAACAAATCTGATCCAAGTGTGGTCAATGTATATGCGGTAACCAATCATCTGATAGACTGCTAAGAAGCTCTATACAGTCAGGTAGTATAATTATCCATGACATCCAGTATGTTTTTCCAGAGTTACAACAGGGCAAAATTGATAGAATATATTACTAACAAAAGCTTTAAATGTATGAATTCTTTAGTTACCACAACAGCTAATGAGGTAGGTAGCATTATTATCTCTATTTTACAGATGAAGCAATTGAAGCGTATGGAGGTTAAGTAACTTGCACATCTAGTAAGGAATAGTGTTAGTGTTTGCAACCACACAGTTTGACTCCAGAATCTATGCCCTCAGTCACTATCTCTCTCTCTCTCACTCGCTTGCATGTGTGTGCATGCACAACTATAAACTGTGAATCACTCCTGATGAGAAGACCTAAGAAAAGAGGTACCTGGGGATTAGCTGACTATGTGGACTTTTTGTATCTTCTGTGTTCAGCACATGGAAATCTCATGGCTGATTGAAAACCTACCAAAGGACACAATAAATAATTATTCTGTAGGAAAACTCAGCCAGCCAAGCCTGCCCCACCTCACATGTCTGTCACTCTTGGACAAGGAACAAGATGTAAGTAAATCCTCTGAGCATCTCTCTGTCCTTTATCTCACACTCCCACATTGCTCTCTCCACTACCTCTCCTGACCAAGACTCTTACTGCTTCTTTTTTCCCATATTTTTTAGTGACCTTTGAATTATCATTCCATGTATGTGAGTACCAGTTAAGTATGTCCCTTCTTTCGTATATAAAATGGTCAATTATATGGTAACTGCTTCATTCT
The DNA here is from genome assembly GCF_000001405.40 of Homo sapiens. Classification (NCBI taxonomy): domain Eukaryota; kingdom Metazoa; phylum Chordata; class Mammalia; order Primates; family Hominidae; genus Homo; species Homo sapiens. Next base: position 177,466,922 of record NC_000001.11, read on the forward strand.
CTTTATTTTACTTCCCGAGCCTCTTCCTGCTAATTTTACATACCATGCCCATATACACAATCTCCTTCAAATCTTTTCAAAAACTCTTTCAGATTCTTTATTTATTCAATAGAGTTTGTGGTTAATAACTACCATTTGTCTTTTCACAAAAAATAAATCTTTGCAAGTAAAGGAAGACTTGAAATTAAAATTTAATTTGTGCTAAAAGTAGGGGAGGATTTTGGGGTTGGAAAATACCTTGAAGAAAATCTTCTCTTTGTTTACCAAAATATGGCTTCATTATTAGACCTGGATACAAATTATAAGACTCCAAGAGAAGATGAAAAGCATTTTTTGCTTACAGGGACCAGAACAAGCTTTATACACCATCTCTGATTATAATAGGAATTTTCTGTATCCTATATATCAATAGTCTAGTGATATTGAAATCTCCTTAGGCAATAATGTGATGTTATTAGCAAGGAGAATGAAAACACATAAATAATAACTCCACAGTTTGTTTTTCATTTAAAGAGCTTAAAAGAAAAAAAAGTGAAATTTTTCTCCTTCAAATTTTCCTTGATTTTTCTGTCTTTGTGAGGATAAGAACACTGACAAGTTTGAAGCTTATAGCTTTAGACATTTCTGAGTTATACAATCACAAGAAAGAGATTGAAGTATTTTTTTTTTTTTTTTTTGAGAGGGGGACTTGAAGGAAAAAGAAGCCTGTGTGGTCTGACTTAGAGGCAGAGAAGCAGTGGAATTGTATCAGTTCAAACTTTCAAAAAAGAAAAAAAAAATCTCACTTTAGGGTGAGCCATGAAGCACGGCTATTTCCAAGCTAAATCTTTTTGTGATGAGAAAGATGAACATCCTTAAATGTCAGAGGAGAAATGGCAGTTGGTTCATAATTATACTGGGTTTCTCTTTTACTTACTAGGGTCCAAGCCCACAGTTAACTCTAGCTGACTCTAGCAATCATCACTCCCATAAAAATACTGATTTCTAGAGAATAAATGTTTACAAAGTATTGAATATATTCCTCAAATCAGCTCCTGGGAATAGATATTATTACGTCCATTTTATGAATAAGCAAGCAGAGGCTCACTGAGATTAAATGACCTGCTTAGGAGAACACAGACGTTAATTGGTACAACCAAGCAGTAGAAATCCAGATTGTCTGACTTCAAACCCTGAACCCATTTCCTTAGATCATAAAACCATGAGTGTACTTGTGAATTAGACTAAGTCACTGGACCACCCAAGCAAGATGCTACTCTGTATCTTTCTACTATCACACCCTCCAATGGAAAACTCCAAGTAGATTTTGGACTCACTGGAGAAGAAGAATAAAATGAAACAATTCCTCTCAATGGTAGCTTAACTATCTTTAATTTGTTCTACTACCAGGTCAAACTAAAGGAGTAATAACTTTCAAATGGAGGACACTGCATCAAATGACTGATTTTCCATGACACTTCTTTTTTTTTTTTTTAATGTAAACTGGACAAATCCTAGAACAAATGCTGCTTTCTATTATCAACCAAATGTTATAAAGTTCCAACAATGCAACAGACATTGCCCTAGGTCCTGGGGTTATGAAGAAGAATAAAAGATATTCTCATCGAGGAAGATTACTTCCTAGTGTTACAGAACAATGAAAAAAAGAATTATTATACAATACAGGTATAATAAAACAGAACGAACAAAAGTACAGAGGGAAGACCAAATACACTGGGGAGTCAGAGAAATCTTCATAGAGGTGATATTAGAGCTTACATTTGAAAGAAAATTAGTTGAAAAGAAGAGGAGGTACATTCTTGAAGTTAGTTCTTTTATATTATTTTGAATTGCATTCAGGGCCAAGCCTGAGAAGTGGGGAGATGCTAACTTCTTAGATTGTGCAGGATGTTCATGAGTAGCCAAAGGTTATCCCTGGTGCCATGATACTGGGTTGGCTCCAGATTTATTAATAAACCTAGGTTTTGGCCAAGACCTCAGGTTTTAAACACCCAGACTTTGTCTTCTCATCCACAAAAGGATGGTGGATTTTATTAATGAGCATTTTTTAAAGAATAGGAATATTTATTTTATAAAGAATAAGGTGGCCAGGTGCAGTGGCTCACGCCTGTAATCCTAGCACTTTGGGAGGCTGAGGCAGGCGGATTGCCTGAGCCCAGGATTTCAAGGCCAGCCTGGGCAACATGGTGAAACCCTGTCTCTACTAAAAAATACAAAAAATTAGCCAGACGCAGCGTGCACCTGTAGTCCCAGCTACTTAGGAGGCTGAGGCAGGAGAATTGCTTGAACCTGGGAGGCAGACATTGCAGTGAGGCGAGATTGTGCCACTGCACTCCAGTCTGGGTGACAGAGTGAGACTCTGTCTCAAAAAAAAAAAAAAAAGAAAGAATAGGGTATCTTGTTAGGTTAAGTAATTTAAAAAAATTGCAGTGATTATGGTTATGAATTTAAAAGCTAAAAAGGTCTTTGTCTGGAGTAGTCCCCAGGAGTTAAGCTTGCTAAGAAAAGAAATGGACTTTGCTTTAAAAATATGAATTATCTTAATACCATATCAGAAGCTGTAGAAGAAATAAAAAAAAAATCCTTGGGAACTCTTGGAGATCTGCCTAGACCCATCTTAATGTGAAAATAAAACCTTAGATGCCAATAGACAGATATAAAAAGGAAAAAGAGATGTTTCTAGATCAAATGGCTCAAAGAGAGGAGATTAGAAAAGAGGAGGAAATGTTTTGTTTTAGATTCAAAAGGGTTGCTGTAGTCCAAAGAAATCCCACAGAGCAAGAGAATAAGAGCTTAACCAATCTTAAAGGAAGCCTGGATCCAAGAAAACGCGCCTTTTAACGCTGAAGGTAATTTATGAAACAGCAACTGGAGAACCACTTCTTGAAAGTTGGAATAGCTATACAAAAGGTTTCAGGAGAAGAAATTAGACTACTTTAGGAAAGATCATCTTAAAATACTTGCAGCATTATTGGGGTAAATTTCAAGGAGACTAGTTATTGTAGGTGGAATTGTGTTGGTTATTGTTTAACAACCCACTCTCTGGAAAATAATAACCTTATTCGTAGCATTTGTCAATCTCTGAGATATGAATACTCCCTCCATGACTGATTTCAAGCATTCAATGTAAAGTCACTGAACACAAAGTTGGAAGAGATGCGCACAGCCAGCTCTATGAGCCAATGAGAGCCAGCTCCAGCACACAATGGTGCAGATGCAGCTATTGAAGTATGCCAAAATTCGTGAAACTTGACCTCTAAGAGAATATGAGGAATACAGAAAAAATACTAACAGGGACCTGGGGAAAACAATAAAAGATGAAATCCTGTTCTGGTTTAGATGTTGGTCTGCTGCAATACTACTATTAGGTTTACCAATCCAGGTTTGGAAGCCAAAGTGGATATGCTTGAACAATAGATTACCTTATTGACCAGAATTCACTGACTTATCATGTCTTACTGTAAAGCCGCCCACTATAAAATATATGTATATACATATCTCATAAATTTTTAAAAAGCCAATGTCTAGGGCTGGGCTGATATTCCGCACCAGTATATACCAACATGGCCATATGTCTTATTTACAGTCAGCATTTCTTTCTATTGGTTAGTGACTGTGCCATACTAATTGTTAAATACTTGAGTATCATCCCTGTCTAGGGCAGAGATCAAAAAGGAGAAAGGAAAGAGAGTGCTTAGTCCAGCTAATACCAGTAGCCTTCCATGTTGTGGTAGAGAATGAAAGGAACAAACTAAAGAAGAAAGTTAAACTGTCAGAATCTCAGCTGAGCTTTTCTTAAAAGGCAAAGAGAAACTAGCAAGGAAAATGAAGCATTAGAGACATATCCCATTACTGGAGAAAAATATTACAGTGAAAAAAAATGTTACTCAAGGCCTGTAACATCTAAAAGCAGAGGAAAAATAAGAACTGCACGGCAGATGTGCTTAGGGGCATAGACTTCAGAAATGTCAATGGCAACCTCTGTTTTAGAGCCTTCCAAGGGTAATGCCCTAGCTAAAAGGGATGTCAAGGCAAGGGTAAAAACCTTAAACGACAGAAGTCTTAGGATTAAACAATGCCATAGGAAAAGACATGGTGGGGTCACTGAGGCACAAGATTGGTAAATATCTGCACACAAAGCTCAAAGAGGCTATATCTCTAAACAGAGCCCACATCCAACTTGGTTCTCAGGCACCAGGTACAAGCACTCTAAATAAGCCAAGACAAAAAAGAGGTTTTGAATGTACAAGATGGGAAAACAAAACAAAACAAAAAGTCCCCAAACTGGTGCTTAGGCCTGCCACCACTGCATGTCTAAATTTAGAAGAGATATGTCTCTCTGAGAAAGGGGACTGAGTATAAATCTGATAAATCTATGGCCATTATAGACTCTTTCATGGGAGTTTTTCCCCAACTGGGTTTAAGTTTCCTAGGCCATGTCATAAATAGACTGGAATCCTGGCAAAGTTACAACTGTAACGTTCTCCTCTTTTTAGTCTACTTTCTTTCAAATATGACTAAGTCTCAACTGTCATCTTGGCAAAGAACAGAATGGTCTGTACAGTAAATATCTCCTGTTAGTGTTCATTTGAGGTGAGGACACATTCCTGGCTCCATTCTAAGTTGATTACTTAATCTAAGATGTCACCAATCAGCCTTTCTCATCTAGGGTCTCCTAAAAATTTAAGGCTTAATAAAGACCTAATGCCCTAAAACAGGAGTTGGTAAACTTTTAATGAAAGGTCCACACAAAATATATTTTAGGCATTGTGGGTAATACATGAAAACTGCCATAGGCAATACATAAACACGTGGGAGTATCTGTGTTGCAACAAAACTTTATTTACAAAAGTATACAATAGGCTGGATTTGGCCCCCAGTAGTAGTTTGTTGACCCTTGCACTAAAATATCCATATTATATAGTAACTTAGCTTCTCTTCCACACACCTAGAATGATACTAGATATTTGCAACCTTGAGAGGACTGAGAAAATTGTTCCTGAAGTTTTGTGTGTGTGTGTTTTGTTTCAGAAAGGAACCCTAGACTGGGAAAGGCTCTACTTAGTAATCTAGATACCTTGATTTAGATAATTCCAATTCAGACTCCAAAATGTCTCTCTGAGGCTGTTTGAGACTCCCCTCTGCAACCCCTGCAGCTCCTGCATATAAACTTGCTCCCTCTGTTTTTGCCTCACTTACCCCGGATATAGAGAGCTTAGTACCTCTTTCAAGTCCACCGAAGGAATCATGCCAAAATAAGGGCTGGTATCAACAGATGATGAAGTAGGAGTTTTATGTGTGACATCTCACACTAAAAAAAAAACTCTTAAATGTTCCCACTAGACATACCTATACCTCCAATTCACTTCTCAGTCATGCCACTACTGGAGTTTCTCTGCATCTAATTACACAACTGCCCTTTTTCCTGTCATTTACTCCTGGATCTTTCCTTGCCAACTTTCTTCTCTATTATGCAAAGCAATTCTGCTTGGTTCCAGGGCTGTATGTGAAGGCTTCAACTTCACATAACCAAATCCATACTAGACTTCAGAAAAACCAGGGCTTTACTGTTGTCCATATTAACCCTGCTTAAAAGCAGGCCCAGGTTTAGAGAGCAAAAAAAGACTTCTCATTTTATAGACATAGTTAATCAAGTGTTCTAAAATGGCATATGAGTGAAGGAGTGCATGTTTTTACCTATTTATGTTATCCTCAAGTCATGCTGTTTGACCTTGGGATCCAAGCTTTACATGTCACTTGCAGTTTAGGACATCAAGACTCTTGGACAAGTCTTAGCATGCTGGTGAAGGCCTGATGCACACAATGTATGACTAGGCTGCGGAAGTTGCTGGAGGGAGAAGGTGGGCAGGGAATGCAGATGTGATCTAGAAAGAAGAAAATGGATGCTGAGTGGGTAGCCAAGTACACAATGATGTTAGAAAGCATGTGCAAACTGGGTGAGAACAAGCATGTAATTGGGTATGAATCATTAAGTTACATAATTATATATTATGTTTAGAGTGACCTGAAAGAGTGAATTAGAGTGGGAGAGAAATCTGGTTGCTGTATCTTTATGGGATACTTCCAAGGTAAATAAACCTTTTTTTTTTTGCCAGAGAGATTCTCAACTGGCTGAAGGATACACAAGATGTCTTATTTGTGTGTCACTTGTTTGTGTTACTAATGACTCCTGCTGACACCACCCTTGCTTCTTCAGGTCAGTGGGTCTTCGTGCCTTAGGTCTCTGCATTACCATCCCCTCTTCATTGGAGCTACTTTGCTGAGAGAGTGGGTTAGGGTATGAACCTTATGGTCTAGTAATAAAGTCCACACTTGCAGGCTTTGCAGACAGAATGGCAAATAATTTTCAATCTGCATACTAGTACTAATTAATCGATAGTGGCTACTTAGATGCTGTGTTGAGAGTGATTCTTAGGTCACATCTGGGGTAAGCAGGAAGAATTTTGTCTCATTTGATACTCTAAGTACTGTTGGCCTTCCCATACTAACAAGGATTTTTAGGGAAAAAAATTTTACAGAATGTCAAAAAAGCAATTGCTCTGGGGAAAGGCAAGCCTGGATTTGCCTCCTCTGCTATCTGTGTTTTGGGGAAAGACCATAGAAGCCTAAGTCCAGATACCTTTATTTGTGAAAAAGAGACAACAGCACCCACCCCACAGAGTTGCAAAAAATGATTTAGCAGATGTTAAAATCTAGCACATCCCTGGAACATGTTTACTAATTCAAAGTACATTATTTCTACTTCCTGACTAGAAAAAGACCATATTTTTTCATGCAAAAATCTCAGATATATCATTGGGTATAAAAATTATCTGATGGAAACATGACTGAAAGACTAGATGTTTTCAGTCTGGGACAGAATGTTAGATCAATATGACTGTCAACAAGTTTGTCTCTCTATGCGGGACACAAAATTGAGAAGCAGGGACTTGAAGTGAATAAAAATGTAATTTAATACACAATCAAATAAAAATTCTACAGCTTTAGAATCAGAGAATATTCTTGGAATGGACCCTTTTTCAGTACCATAAATTTAACCAACTGAATTCTTTAAGTATCTGCCTTGTCAACCCTTTGAAATGAAGGTTGATTAGGTTCAACGGGAAATCTACATTTCATCATGAAAATGGAACACAACGTGTCCTTGGCTAGTCTCCCATGGAGTAGCAATTTGGGGCACTGTGTGCAAAGCATGAAGCAAAAACACAGGTAGAAAATTTATTTCAGGCATGACAAACAGGAGGCATGCATATGCATAGCCCAAGAAGCATGAAAAGTCAGAGCTTCCATTCTCACTGCACAGGCCTCCGTAAAAGGAAAACACAAAGGGGCTTCTTCAGCCTTTTATTTTACAAACAGTAGTTTATGAGAATGGAGACATTACAAGAAAAGGAGACACTTAAGATTAAGTGAGTTGATGTGTTTAAATATTAGGAGGAACAGAAACTCAATTATCGAGGGGTAAATGCAGCAATAGCAAGTCTCGTCAAAGAAATCAAGCCCCATTGGGTGTTTCTCACATTCTTGCTTCTTTTGACAAGGTTTAATGCAGAACCCAAGAGAATTTGACTATCTAATAACCTGAGCAAATAAAGTGTAGAGGAAGAACAAGTGTGCACATTATGCATCTCAATTCTAAGACAACAGTGAATGGTCTACTAGATTTAGCAGGTAAATTAAGGAGTCTGTTAGCAATGAGGTGCAAGCTGGCACACCCTCAATTCTGGCTGTTACCAGCCAAGGCACAGACATAACTGATGTTTCTCCAATACGACCAAGATGTGTCACCTAATCCAGAGAGAACACATTATCTATAACAGGCTTAAAGTCAGTTTGGAGGCCAAAATGTTGCCAATGTTTTCAGATCAAGTAATAGGCCTCTGAAAAGCTGAGTAAGCTGTTTGGCTGATGGAACAGTTAAAATTGAAGGGACAGTTCAATGGACTGACACTGGTTAAGAGAATCATTTAGTCAAGTTCATGACATACTCTTCCTCAATCTTGTACCTTTAAATCAAGTTAACCCTCCCCTGGAGCAAGTGGCTGGTGGCCAGTTAACTTGAGAAGGATAGGCAGCCCATTCCCTGTAATTGTTCTGGCCCTGAACTCCCCAAGCAGGCCCACTGAGCCTTTGGAACAACAGAGCAAAGTGCAGCAAGCAGGAAATACAATTTGGTGAAGTCATGCCAATGAGTACCCAGAACGCATCTGGAACTATGCTTGGCCTTATGGATATGCTTGGTATTGTGGATACATACACTGATGAAACGTGACTCTTCCTGCAAAGAGCTCACCTTTGAGTGGGGAAAATAGGTGGTAAATGTTAGCCAATAATGCAAAATGGTAGAGTTGGATATAAATTGAAATGTGAAAGGACAGCTACTTTTGACTCAAAAACGTAAAGCAGAAGTCAGATAAAATGATAGAGAAGTAGTGATCCTTAAACAGCGATGAAGAGTTTTCCCTGTGAACAAAAGAGGAGAGCACATTTCAGGCAATGGAAACAAGAGCCAATGTGTGGAGGGATGATATATATGGCATGGCTAAGGAGTCACAATAGAGTTCAGGGTGGCTGGACCAGAGAAGCTGTGTTCTAACTCCGAGATTTTGAACCTTTGGGACAAGGAGGGGAGATCTTGATCTCTTCCATGGTGTCCTACAAAATGCCTGCACCTAGTGCCTCATCTAGCTGAGACTGTAGTCCTGGGAAGACAAAGTTACTAATGACAATATCCCATACCCTTTACTCCCTTCTCTGATAAGATTTAATATTTTTAGCAAATGTTTTCTTTCAGCAAATATTCATTGAGCATCTATTATCTGCTAGTACTATGAAAGGCACTGATATTTTAGAAGTATTGTCATTAAATGGAATTAATATAGGATAAAAGTAAAAGTCTGAAACCAGTCTGTCTGGGTTCAAAGTTTAGTTTCGACACTTAGCAGCTGTACAATTTTAGATAAGGGACTTCATTTTTAAAATACAGATAATACTAGTATTCCTCTATAGCATGGCTGAGGATTAAATGACAAAAATCATGTATAATACTTAGAACATCACCAGTTATAAAAAGTGCCCCGTAAGAACTGGTTGTAATCATTATCTTTGGGTGCTAGAATGAACAGTGCACAGAGTGAACTGTCAACATAACTATTAATTCTGGGAGGGAATCTTTTGTCAGGCATATGCATCCCTCCCTCACCTTTTCATCAGTGTTGCACTGCTCTGCAACAGAAGTAACATCCTTTCCTCATGGCTCCAGGATGTCTTCCCTGCGTAGTGGAAGAACTCATTTTGTTGGGTTATTTCACCTAGGGATTGTATTCATTCCTCACAGAGCATCAAGACCCCCAATATCTAAACGATCCTTCTCAACTTTAACCCACACTCATATTTTCACTGACAGGCAACAAATGCTGTTTGCAGCACTTGTGAAACCCATTTATTTTAACATGAAATAAGCTTGTTCCTGACAGATTGCAGCAAGAAAGGTAAGCATAATGGGACTGTTCAGAGATTGGTGGTGTCTGACATTAGTGGAATCATCCGGATTTCACATTTAGCAGATTCAACAAAAGAGAAGAAATCAAAAATCATGTCTGTTTGGCATGGGAAGTGTGGAGAAAAGACAGGAGCTTGGGAACACAGTGAGGAAGGAGTCAACAAGGCCTGTGGGGTCCAGGCTGCTCAGAATTTGAGTCAAAAGAAACCTAGAAATCCTAGGATTAGCCTTACAACGAAGGGCTTCTTTTTCTGTTTCCTGAGCCTGAGTGATTCAGAAAGAGTAAATGGGGAAAAGGAGGAGGGAAAGATCAAAGTGAGTATCATTGGCATCAACTAATGGAAAAAATCAGTACAGGCAGCATAATGGTTGAAAGTCTGTGCCAGCATCTACAGCAGGATGCCACCTGCAAGCTGGTCACTGTGACATTCTGAGAATGAAACCAAGGGGAGGCGTACATGGTAACCAGCAGCTGCAGGACTCAGGGATATAGCAACCTGGGCAGAAAGTAACTGGTGTTGCCAAAGAGCCCTCATGCATAGCTCTGGGGGTGTCTGAGGGTGGCCAGTGCCCTACAGACAGTAGAAGATTTAGCTACAGCCTTCTGATTAACCTGCCAGAAACTGAAATATAAGATCAGGGAGACAGAGAATGATACACTAATGAAGCAATGATTTAAAAAGGCAAACCCCAAACAGTCTTAGAAAAGTAATTTGATTTTCCTGCCACTGTGTAGGACCATTATTCTCATACTCCTTCCCTAGGCTGTGGGGAGAGGTCACCTGTCTGAAGGAAGGTGACCTTTGCCCCTCTGCCACTATCAGAAATGAGGGCAGAATTCTGATCCCGAATGCCTAGAGACACATAAAGAAAGAGGTTGGAGAAACTGTTTGCTGTTAATATTCTAAGGCTTTCCTATTCCCAAAGAACCTTACTATCTAGGTACCAAAATCAAGATGAGGAGTCCAAAAAGATGTTTGTTGTGTCCTTCTGAGCCATTTACCCCTAAGAGATAACAGTCTGCGACCAGTCCTGCGGCCATAATCCAGGGCACCCAAATGCCCTTCTCAACAAGAAGCACACCCGGACATCTCCCCTAACCCCCGAACTGTAAGATAACTTCCCATCCATAACTTAGGTCCTCAAATTATTAGAAAATGCAGCTATCTCCAAGAATAGTTGACATTTCAAGCAAACAGCCATTTAGACCTTGGTAAGAAGGATTTACAAGCAGGCTTCAACATAGCGATATAGTCCTTGCTCAGTAAATGTTTGCTAAGTGAGTCTGCAAGAATTCTGTGTTAAAATCCAATGACAGAAAGAAGCAGTAATACCCAGATGAGATACAACACAGGTCTAGTTTAAAGAAAACACCGCTGCAACAAAACATAAATTACATAGCATCAAAGGAGCAGGTCAAAATTCTGGTCACCCATAATACACCTGTTTTTCGGAGAGGGAGGGGGCTAGGAGAGAGGAGGTGAGAGGAGCACAGCCAAAGGTGGCTTTCTGAGGAGTTTTGACTGTGATTGATAGTCTGTGCTGCGCTCTCACTCATGTAGAAAATGAGAGCGAGATCACTCCAGATACGGGCCCATCTGAGTTCCTGCTTGTGTCCATCCCCTATACTCACTTACTCATCTGGGAGCCCTCCCTTCCAGCCTATGGGTCTCATTATTCAAAATTTCAAGCGGAAGAAAGCAGAACTACTTCTTCCTTCTTCCCTCTCTCTCTTCCTCTTTCTCCCTCTTTCTCTCTCTCTCTCTCTTTCACTTTCTCTCTCTCTTCCACTTTCTTTCTCTCTGTCTCTTGTGCTCTTTCTTTCTCTTCCACTGGGAAGTATAAAATCATTATTTTGAGGATTTCTTTACTTAGTGACTTGAGAGAAAATTCATTTCTCTTGGTGCTTCAGGTTATTTTTCCAGAGGGCTGAAAAGCGACAGTAACAATTACTTCTGAAAGCGTCTTCATCAAATGTGCCATGGCTCCATCTCTGCTAAATTGGCCTGTCTCCCCACCCTCTGCCCATCTCCCCCGCTCCCTCCCACACATAGCCTGCTTTGTACCAGACCGGATTTATTTTATAACTCTGCCTCTCCACTTAATTAGTGTGCTACCGTTTTAGGCAGTTCTTACAAGGTTTCAGTTCCCATCCCAAGGGGTGGAGTGATGAGCAGTTGCCTCCTTCATGGGGTCTAGACTGTGTTGAAATCTGCCTGCGGTCCCACCAGGAGCAGCCATTTACAAGCCACTTTCATGAGATACTACTAGGAAGAAGTAAGGTGGAATGTTGTAGCATCATTCAAACCCAAAAGTGTCATTCATAGACTGACATTCATGGCACTCACATCTATTTGTACAATCTCTGCTAATATGTCATATTTCACAAAAATCCAAAATCGGTTGCAAATTGTGGACAGAGGCATGTTTAAAAGGATTTGGCTGCCATTTTGTTTCAGTGTGGAAGTCTGAAACACCCACCCAACCAAGGTTAAAATGAGATTACTTTTGTCAAAGTTGCCACAGCACACTCATGCCAACCAACAGATAAATGAAAGATGCCTAGTGATTAACTTGAGGCAAAGACCTCACTCTGTATACTTATTTCATGTAGTAAATGCATACCCAGTCAGTCCCATATACATTTTATTAGAGGCAACCAAACTACGTTTTTTACTTTAGGAGAACTTTTCTTTTTAAATCCTATAGCAAAGCAGATAAATTGAGATGCCAGGCTTCTAACCTCACCAGAACAAGCAATGTGTTTGCAGCACAGCAGGGATTTGAACACATGGGACAGGAAAGGGTGTTGGAAGATATCTCTTTTACCCCTCATCCCCAAACCTCCTTTTACCCCATATCAGTGAAACACTGCAGCTCTTCTCAAGTTCAAATCAGCACCAGAATGCAGTTCCATCCAGCCGGGTTGTGCAGCATCAGGCATGACCTCTGAAACAATTAGGCTCCACACTGCTAACGCTACAAAGATTAAACCCAACAACTTGAATTGCATGAGGGATTGGGGTGAGACAGTGATGGACAATGGAACTAAGATCCTCCCTGGGCTGGACAGGTAGAAATGCCACTAGAAATATCAAGTGTGTCTCCAGTGAACTTTATTTTTAATATGAAGGCCTTTCTCTGCAGGAGGACGTTTGCTGAAACGTGATCTAAACTCACTTCAAGAAGAAAAGTACATGCCGGGAATTGAAACCAAGAGCTTTCTTTCCATCCTGGAGGCCCTTGGACCTCATGGAAGGTGACTCCTTTGAGCTTTGTTGCAGGTCAGCCATAGCCTATGCAGTGTGCAAGGTGACACCTTCCTTAGGGGCTAGCGTCCCTTTCTGCTCCTTTCCCAGCCTGGACGTCCCCTGCTGTTCGCTTCGGTCTTTTTCGGCCTCCTCCCTGATGTGGCTTTGTTCTGTCTTCTGCTTAATGCCACAGGCTTTGGTTCCTGCCACCAAATGAGCCCTCCTATTGTTAAACTCTGAGTCTTTTTTTAGGCTATGCCTGCCTCCTCTGCACCCTTTACTCTTATTTTCATTTTATTGATTGCCTATGTGGTTTTTCTCCCAAAAATCTGAAAGTGGTATGGGAGTCAGTCTGCCTAGTTCTCTCTTCTTCCTTGTTTTCCCCAAGATAACCGCAAAGTCCCTTTTGGTTTTAAGGGTTTACTGTTAATAACTACAAAAAAGCCCAAACCTAGCAGTGACAATAAATACAGTGAAGTCACAAACTTAAAAAATCCTTCAAAGTTTCTGTAGCATTGGTCTCTAGGCTATAATTATGGCTCCCCTTCAAGATGGTAACTGAAAACTATGTTTGATTTCTGTTCCCTGTTTTTATTTTTAAAACTGAAGCCCACTAAACCCTTCTGTCCCTAACACACATACATCGTCCACCCTTTAGTTAGCGCATGAACCGTGTCCATCCCTGAGGACCTTCCACACTAAGTGGTCTTCATCTGTCTTGAACTCCACCTCATGGCAATGGGTCCTTTGGATATAAATATTTCAGCAAACATTTAATCTCTACCTAAGTTCCCATCTTTAGGATCCCAATTTAATTTGGTCCTTCAGCTTATTTACACCAAGGGACTAATAACTACTTTCTATGTTACCTATCTAGAGGCATTTTCATTTTCAAAAATTGGGAGAGGAAAATAAATAAAGAAAATACAGGAATGACACTCTGGTTGGGGATCCTTAGGCATCACAGTCACAGGTGAGAAGAGAAACTGACCAATACACTTGAATTGTCCCAAGGCTAGGGATGGAAAAATACTAGCTCAGCTTTGTCTCTGTCCACTGTTAGAGGCTTTTAATATTAATGTAAATTATAGTTAATTGTAGTTAAGAGCTGCTCCACCACATTTATACTGAGATCAGAAGAATCTGGGTTATAAAATGGAATCTAAATTCCAATGGATGTGAATTATGGTTAAATAGACTTGAGAGGAGCCAAATCAAAGAGCTGCCATCTGGCATTCAGTCTGGCATCCAATTAGTGCTAAGGGGCACCCAGTTTGCTCAGCACTGTTCTAGGCACCCAACAGAATCAGACAGCGCCTTTGCCCTTTATGAACTTAATTGAGGATGCACAATAGACAAATATAAAATCAATGCTTGATTATACACACTAATGTTGAAAAGCAATGATGCAGATAATCAAAAGCAGCAGATCATCTGAAAATTACACATGCCCTCCTCGCTCCATGTCTGTGGGAAGCAAAGAGAAAGAGTAAAAAAGCAGCACCAGGCAGCACAAGCAGAATAACGATGCGTCGGGCAATAATTTGCATCACAGCAACTGTCTTGGCAAACTGGTGGGAGCGAATGTTTTGTATGTTTAATTATATGTGTTGGTTAAAAGATATAACTGTTTAATATATATCCGTTGTATTGGGGTTTTAAAAAATTCAGAGAATAGAGTCACTTGTTCAGAGAAAGCCTGAGGGAGATGATGATAACAATCGCAACAACAAAACAACAGATAAAAGTTGGGGCTTTGGATTTGGGCTATGGTGACTTCACTAAAATATTTTTTCACTTGGTATTTTATGGTTTATAGACTTATTAAAAGAATTGGTTAAATAAGAACTGTCACCTTAATTTTTCAGTCTATTTCAGACTGAGAGAGTTGACTCAAGCCTATATCAAGAATTCTCTTGATTCAAAATACGCTAGCATCCAGTGGCCTTTATGCTAAACAAGGCCTTACTGTGTCCAAATCCCTCTGTGTGTCAGAGCACCTGAAATGACGTAGTAAAAGAAGAGTGGTGATCTTCAGGCTCCAGCCTCCCTTTACTGAGGCCCTGACCCCTGCCTCTTCCCCTCTGTGACTGACTTCATCCATTCTGCTGAGGATGCCTGCTTCTTCTGCCCCAAGTGAAAAGGAGGTCTTCCTGCCCAGTGCAATGGCTCTTGAAGCCTGGGCCAATTGCTAAATGTTTGCAACTCTATTGATCTCTGAGATGAGCTGGGCAAAACAGAGTTGGTGAAATCCTTAAGTAATGGCCCAGAAACGTAGCTCATCTGCCCCTCATGCTGGAATCTGAGATCTGGTTTCTGTCCTCCCACTTTCCTCATATTAGAATGTGGGACTTCCTGGACACTTCTCCAAGGGAGTCGAAGACAGACTGTTCTCACCTTTCTTGGGGTTCTTCAAAGTTCCCATCACAGCTCTTCCCGAGTGACTTGGGAGACTTCATGAAAATAGAACCCCATGTAACCAGCTGTGGCATCACAGAATTCCTGAGGTAACTATGCAGATTAGACCCCTCTATGATCCTGGGCGACTTTAATTTAAGGCAGTGTGCTAATTAAGTACTAAAATGAGTGGTACAGGCAGCAAGTGCAAAGGGAGTTCAGAGTGGGGAGAAAGTTCATGTCCCTCAGTTCAATTTATAAAGAAGGCCAAGGAATTTCATTCTCTTTGCCTTTGAGATTTCTCCTCAATCCCTTCTTAAGCAGACCACCATCACTACCACCCCCCCATACACACACACACCATACCCTTGCTCTGTCCTTAGCTATGGGAGGGCTCCCAATCCAATCCCTGAAACCAGGCCACTGAAGTGAAATTCATTTATTTGGCAAGTATACAATGAGCACCTACTATGTGTCAGGCATTGTGCTTGACTCGGGAATATAAAAATTAATAAGATGCCCTTGCTGCCTTCATGAAGCCTATAGAGGAGGTGAGGGGTGGGTAAGCGCGTTAGCAAATCGCTGAGGTTCAGGTGAGAAGTGCTTCAACTGCGGCATGGGCAGGCTCCTGGGGAGGCAGAGGAAGGACCAGACATAGAGGAACTGGCAGGAGACACCACCCTGACTACTGCAGGTACAGGCAAATGATACTCTCTCACAACTTTTAAACTTTTGAACCCAGAAAACCCTCTGAAAGGCAAAACACGGAACAAAAGTACAGGAGGGTGATACACATAAATTTGATGTACAAGTGGGGGGAAGAAGATGTCAGACTTTTTAAAAGAAGAGCTAAAAGGGGATTCAGGTATAGTGATAAAACATTAAGCACCTTTCTGATGCTTTGTGAACAATAAAAGGCACATTCCAGTTAGCATATTTATACTAAAACATGCAATAAACATGAATAGGCCAGTGTGATGGCTCACATCTGTAATCTCAGCACTTCGGGAGGCCACAGCAGGAGGATTGCTTGAGCAATGGAGTTCAAGACCAGTCTGGACAACACAGAGAGACCCCATCTCTATAAAAAAAAGTTTTTTTAATTAGCCAGGTATGGTGGTGCACACCTGTAGTCCCAGCTATTCGGGAGCTGAGGTGAGTGAATCACTTGAGCACAGGAGCTTGAGGCTGCAGTGGGCTGTGATTGCACCACCACATTCCAGCCTAGGCAACAGAACAAGACCCTGTCTCAAAAAGAAAAAAAAAAAAAAAGGAAAGAAAAGACACCAAAAATCAACAACAAAAACCCCTTCTAGGCTGAGAGTCTTCTCTGACTCTGGAAAAATAAATGATCACAAAGGTCACAATCTTTTGTAGATGGGTAGGATAAATTATCTGATGAATTGCAAATGAAAACTTTCCCAAAAGATGTCGGCAACACATGTGTCTTACTTAATGGCTTGTTAAAATTATATAAGTGCACACGTACCACACACACACACATACACATCTCCTGTCATGTCTCGGCTAACAATCTGATCAAGTTCTATATATGTCTACATACATCTCCTGTCACAAGGCTTAATGGATTTGACTAAGGGCCTGCTTCAGGTTTCCTCATCCAGCACTCCATCAACCACTAAAACTGGAATTCTGATTGATGGCACAACCCATTTAAATGCAGCCCTAACCCTGGTTAGATTTTTTCCTGGAAAAGCCTGAAGTCTGGCTACAACTTGCCCTTACCATCGAGCAAGGCTACAGTCCTCCAAGAGAGCAGAGAAAAGGTATATATCATGCATGGACCACATGTGCACCCCGGGAAAGGAACTGAATTTGAGACCTCACCCACGAGTTCACTATTAACCTGGGACAATGAGGTGACCCCAATAAACAGAATTAATGTGGGGTGGATCATTAGAATTCAGATTCCTCATCAGGACTGAAGAAGAATGGAAAACGACCAGCCAAAGGAGACACCATTTATAGCAGCACTATACAGAGATCTCCTCAGCAACGGGGCAATGGCCCTACAGAACTACACAAGCAGCTAAAGGAAAAAGCCAGCATCGGACAGGCATGGTGGCTCATGCCTGTAATCCCAGCGCTTTGGGAGGCCGAGATGGGTGGCTCACCTGAGGTCAGGAGTTTAAGACCAGATTGGCAAACATGGTGAAACCTTGTCTCTACTGAAAATACAAAAATTAGATGGGCGTGGTGGCAGGTGCCTGTAATCCCAGCTACTGGGGAGGCTGAGGCAGGAGAATCACTTGAACCCGGGAGGTGGAGGTTGCAGTGAGCTGATATCCCACCACTGCACTCCAGCCTGGGTGACAAGAGCGAAACTCTGTCTCAAAAGAAAAAAAAAAAAAGCCAGCATCTGAATATCTGCTAAAACCAAAGACATTCAAAACCAGAGACAACCACTTGGGCTTAAACTCGCTGCTTTCTCACCATCTTTGTATATAATCACAAAATTCCCCTCTTAAGGTATATTGCTTGGGACAATTATACAAAAGAACACACTTTGGGAAATACTGACCTGCACCCATCATTCCCTCTCCTGCCCTTCATGCCTCAACAGTCTTGTTCCCTACATCACCATTCTATTGACACAGCCCTTGTTAAGGTCACTGGTTATATCTGCAGCCCTCTTGCTTCTTTTTTAAATTTTTAATTAACATAAAAATTGTATATATTTATGGGGTAAATATCACAACAGTGGTGTTGTGATACATATAATGTATGGTGATCAGATCAGGATAATTAGCCTCTCCATCACCTCAAACATTTATTATTCCTTTGTGCTGAAAACATTCAATATCCCCCTTTTATCATTTGAGACTATGTACTACATTATTAACTATAGTCATTCTGCAATGGTAGAGACCACTAGAACTTACTCTGGTCCTCTTTTTGGGGGGCATTTGACAGTGTTGATCACTTCCTCCTTCTTGAAATGTAATCTTTGACTTTTGTGGCAGAAATTCTGTTCTAGATTTTTTTTTTCCATTTCTGGATTCCCCTCAAGACCATTCTGTACCATCCTTCCTTTTATGTTTTGTTTTTGTTTCTGAGACAGAGTCTCACTCTATCAGCCAGGTTGGAGTGTAGTGGCACAATCTCGGCTC
This sequence comes from Homo sapiens, assembly GCF_000001405.40. NCBI lineage: Eukaryota > Metazoa > Chordata > Mammalia > Primates > Hominidae > Homo > Homo sapiens. The sequence goes on from NC_000001.11 coordinate 177,485,224, forward strand.
ACTGTAACCTCCACCTCCCAGATTCAAGGGATTCTCTTGACTCAGCATCCAGAGTAGCTAAGAATACAGGTGCACGCCCCCACGCCAGGCTAATTTTTTTATTTTTTGGTAGAGACGAGGTTTCAGCATATTGGCCAGTCTGGCCTCAAACTCCTGGCCTCAAGACATCTGTCTGTCTCAGCCTCCCAAAGTGGTGGGATTACAGGCATGAGCCACTGTGCCGGTCCCTTCCTTCCTTTTAAATATTATCAGCACCAGCATTCTATCCTTGCTCCTATTCTCTTCTCATTCTGCACATTCTTCCCTGGTAATTCGTTTCAATCATTACCTTCCTTATTATTATTTTCTGGCACTATAAGCAAAATAAAAATATACAAGAGATGGCCTTTCCCAGTTCTCCCTAATGAATTCAGTTATTTTAATATTCAATTATTTGAAGGATATATTGGTTACAATGAAGTAAAAAAAAGAAGCAGTGTCCTAAACAACTACTCCCAATGTCAGGTTCCGAATGCTGGCCTGGTGAAACTCTAGTGATACGGAGGATGGGAATGGTCCTTCTTGAATCACACCCCGGAGTCTTCTTCGAGAGCAAGTTAAGGAGTCTAATGCAATATGAAACTCATCCAAACAAGCAGTCCCCACATCCCACATCTTGTAACAGGGATTCAATCTTCTTGTAAGGGACCTGATTACAACAGCATACAATGCTCACTACATTGCTTCAGAAATGAAAACTGGAAGAGTGATTTTCATGGTCTCTATCATAAACACATAGAAAGAACTTAATACAAGTGTGGCAAGATAACAATTTGAGATTTTAACTGTGGTTCCTTCACAGTTCCAATGACTTTATTTGTCCTTTCTTCTCTTATTCAGTAGAAATATCCATTTACCTCAAGAGAAGATTGTTACAACAGAAATACAAAAGGACAGTATTGCTTTTGAGACTCAATAGTGTCTTGATATGATTGCTGGAGAAAACCATCTGAGAAAAAGGCTTTTCTGTTCCAAAATCTTGACTTTTGAGTATCAAAAGCAAAAGTTTTGAAAGATTCTGAGACTAAAGTTTATTCTGTACAAACACATGCTTGGGGAAAACAGGAAGCATTAGACCACTCTATCTAACTAGGTAAAAATTCCACCAGGTGAGGTGAGCGAAGATCATCAGAGAGGAGGAAAATAGTGTAGAGGCCAAGGGTTCTCTGAGATAAAGCCCTGTCCTATACCCTATGCCAAGTTTTAGGAAAGGGGATGTTAAAAAGTGCCAGAATTATTTGAGAATCTAAGATCAGAGAGCATCTTGGCCCTGAGTCAGATAGGGCCCAGGAAAGCACCAGGATCCCCACTCATATGAGGCAGTGTGGATGCATACAAAGGAAGGTCCTGATGTCACTAGCACCCCCGAATTTCTCTGTCCTCAAAGTGCCTTTAGGGAAACATACAGAATTTTCCCACATACTCAAGAGATATAAGAAAGTGGCCCAGAGAGTACTTGTGCATCCAAAGCAGCCTCCCAGTTTCCACAAGGAAGGGGTAGAATGATCCAAGTGGGACTCTCTGCAGACCATATAAAAATGCATAATTCTCAGGATGCCAGGGGGAAATGGGGCAATGACCGAAGACCAGACACCACCCCAACCATGAGGTCTGATGCTACATAAACTCCTGGAAACTCAGAAGATATTTCAAGGAGAAAGGTAGGAGAAGGAAAACTCTAAATTGACCAGGTGCATCCTGAATTGCTCTATATTAAATTTTCTTATCCATGAAAATATGATGTAATAAATTTAAATTATGAAAAAGTAGATGAATTTACATTTTGACACACTTGAATTTGTGGACTTAGAATTTGAAACTCCTACATGTGTTTTTGCTTCTGTGAATGTTTAATATATACAGTAGAGCCATCAAGGTTGTGACTAATCTTATATGATGTCCAGACCCCTCAGGCAAGCCCAACACATCAGTCAGTCTGACTAAATCTTCAAGTTTTAGAAGCCCTAATATCAGCATAACTTTCAACATCCCACTCTCTTTCCTCAGAAGATATTCCAGATGAACAGAAAGTGAGAAATGGCGGTAAATACTGGATAGGGTGGGCAGAGTCTCTCTCCCACATCCACAAATGGTCCTAGAGCCATAGCCTGAATGTTATGGTATCTATACACCTTTAAAAAACAAAAACAAAAACTGTTGGGCAGAATGGGAAAACTGCACAGAATGAGCAATTATACAAATCCCTTCAGGGACACTTGTTCTGCTGCTTTCTGCCTCGGAGCTGCTGCTGAGTTGGGAGAAGAGGGCATCCTTAGCTCAGAACTGCTGGCAGTAGTGCTTCCCTCCCCTAGCCCAGTCCTACTGCTGTGGCTGCTGTTGCAGCTCAGCCTGTGGCAACTGCTCCCTTCTCCCTGTGCCTCTGCCCTCACCTCCCCCATCTTCCAGCCTCCTCAGGAAAAGCTGCAGAATCAGGAACTCTGTACCCTCCCACTTGGTCAAGCCACTCCTCTTCAGCATCCCAGGTCCCAGGGCTTCTCAGCTGCTCTCTGCAGGTGCATTGGAAGCTCATCTAGGATCTTATTGGATAAGATCTGTCCTGCTGCTACTCCTCCAACTATGATACAAACTTGACTTTCTCAAGGCATTTGCTAAGACAGAGGAGTCAATGAAAGCAAAAGAGCTTAGGGCTTGGCATTTGAGGTTATACCTTCCTATGAATTTCAATGTAAAGAATCACACTCTCTCAGAACCTAAGCAGGAGTTTCATCACCAAAACAAACAAACAAAAAACTCCAGGATATTCTTGACCAGCTTATACTCCCTTGAGGTACAGTGAGGATTAAGTTAATTTTGATTAATGAGAAAAAAATCCATGGGTATAATGTTTAAATGGAAGTTATTACATGTTTCAACATTAAACCTGAAAGAGGCTCTCTGCTGCTTAAAGTAAGTGAGAAATATGTAGTGTAGTTGAATTAAAGATATATTAATCTTTTCTAAAATAACTAATCACAGCTGGGACAGGTATAGGGTTTAGGGAAAACAAAGACTGCCTTGAATGTTTTATATCCAAATTTAAATGAAGTGTTTGCAAGCTCATTAACTTTAATACTAGCAACTTGCTTGCATCTGTTTTTTTTTATTCCATCTTGAATAGAAAAAAAAAAGGTTGATGAATTTTGCAGTCAGAGAATCCATTTCACCAACATTAATGGGGCATTCACCATGGGCCAGGCAATGCTGGGGATACAAAGACGATCAAAACACAGGACAAGTATACAGAGAACTCAAAACTCTCAAAGGATGCATACCCACAAATGTGTATAATATAATGGGGAAATGGTATAACAGTTATCAGAGTATTATACAATGGTAATCCAGGGAAAGGAGCAATTAATACACCTAGGGGTGTGTCAAGGAAGAATAGAGAGAAGTAGGTAACACTAAAACTAAGACCTCTTGGGGCATTGGGAGTTTCTCCAGCAGGTAAGTGGAGAAAAACATTCTTGCCAGAAGGAACCACAGACAAAATCATGGAGATATGACATCTTGGTATGGTTTGGAAAACTTTGGCTAAAGCCCAGGGTACATGGGGCAGTGTGGTAGTATGAGATGCTAGAGAAGCAGACCGGGGCCTCATACAGGAAGAGGTCTGTGTGCCAAGCCAAATAATCTGGTTTTCATCCTGTGGAGTCATTAATTATTTTAATCAGGGTAGTGACTTGATTAGAAGAATGATGAGGGGCTCAGACAGAAAGAAACCATCTGGGAGGGAAGCTGTTGCAATAGTAATGGCAAGATGGGAAAAAGGAACCGTAATTTTTTTCTGGTTTAATATATACTCAGGAGAATGCCTTCTCCACCCCCCAAAAACTGATTAAAACATTTATCACTGGACTAACATAAAATATTGTTTGAATCACACAAAATTGTCATTTTTGTATATCAACAATAGTTGAGCATCAGCAATTTCATATAGTTCAATTTAATATAAAATGACTGCCCATAAGCTACTCTGCATTTAGGAGAGATACAAGGAGCACACATCTTAGAAGAATTAAATTTCTAGTATTAAGGATCATATCTGTGTAACTTGCTTTATACATTACCTACAACAGAATTGCCTATAGCTAGATTCTTAATGCTGTGATAAGGGAAAAAAGTCTGTCAAAAATATTGCTTGGAAGTTTGCTATTTCTTCTGGCTTCTCTTTGTTGTTTGTTTATTTAGAAGTGTGTTATAGAAGAAAGAAAAATATCATGATGTAGGTAGAATGGGAAAGACAAAGGAAAATGAGAGTCAAGGTGGTAGGAAGAAGGGAGAAATAAACTGAGGGCAGAGTTTGCCGACTACAACCAGAGAAGAGGACAGTTACCTTGCAGGGGTGGACTAGCCTGAAGAAATTCAGAGTCTCTCTGGATTCCAGCTGGAGAGAGGAAAGGAAAATAAAGCCAGTGATGAGCATAGAGGAAAGGCACGTGCATGGAGCTTATGGGGAGAGGAAAGGACTTGGGAAGATTTGGGGTGAATATAAATATCTCTTCTACCACAGATGCAGCATGACTTGGTTTGAATCCAGTCTCAGTTACATTAGCCCCCACCACACATATGAACGTGCACGCACACACACACACACACAGACACACACACACACACACACCCTGCCCCCCCCACACACACACACATTCCCACCACAAATCCAATCACTGATTTGTGAAACTCGACATCTCCCTGTTCTTAAAGAATAGTTTCTTTGTTCAATTTACTCTTCCAGCTCAGGATATATAGAATTAATTTCCCTAGCTCTGGTCATCTCTCTCTCTGCACCCTAAATAACAAATCAGTCTCTCTCTCTCGCTGTCTCACTTGCTCTGGTCTCACTTAAATGTACACACACACATACACACATACATACACAGATCCTCTTTGACTGAAAATTAACATTAAACTGTTCTATTCAAGGAACCAAGACTCTGCTATCACACCCAAAGAAGTGACAAGTTGCAATTTCCCACCATGTGGTGCTACCCAGAGCGGGAAAGAAAGGGGAACACTCTAGAGGGGCGGGATGCAAGTGGGCCGGGTAATGTGGAGGTTATGTTCTCATACTCCCCCACCACCACAGCCACCCCTCACCCATGCCATATGGAGTGCTGCACCTGTTCAGAGAAATGAACTTAGAGCACACCCTCTTAGCTGTCCCCTGGAACCAAAAACATTTACAACCTATAGAGGGAGTAAGTGGTCCCAAATCAAAGAGAATTTCCAGATCAAGAGAAAATTTTGAAGAGCCAGCATCCTGCTGGGTTTCAAGGTCAGGTCCTATCATTTGAATTCCTCCCTTACTCACCTAGATCTATACCCAAAGCTAAACTCAAGGAGCCACCGTGACCCAACGTTTATAAGGGTGGAGTGTTGTGGCAGAGGCCGTACTGAAGGATTCCTAATGAGAAACCCTGTGATAGATTCAGAGCCTGCAGTTGCAGAGATTCTTCTCTTCTGATACCCTAAAAGGCACTGCTAGGTTTCTAGGTTGCAAAATTGGCCACAGTACTTTACTGCTTCTCCCACAAGAAGAGGTCTATTTCCCTAACCCTTGAATCTGGCTGACTTGGTGACTAGGTTTGACTAAAAGTGTTACAGTGTGAGTTCTGAGCCTGGCCACATGGTGGTCATGAACAAGGTCAGCTAACCTGCTGGATGACAAGAGACAAATGGCCTACCATCTTAGCCAACAGCCATCTGATTACCAGATAATGTGAGTGAGACATTAACTGCCAATGGAATCTAGACGCAGGAGTGAGGCCAGGTGAGATCAGCAGAAATTCCCCAGCTGATCTTAACTCAAATTGTGAGCTGTAAAGCAGTTGTTGTTTAAAGCCAGTAAATTTTAGAGTGGTTTGTTACCCTACAAAAACTGATAGAAAACTAATTGGAAACGATGCATAATAAAAACCTTATTTAGAATCCCTACAGAAGAGTATCATCATCCAGAGGGGAAAAAAATCTGAATTTTCCAAAGAAGATTAATGAATTTTCTGTTTTAACCATCTGAAGTAGAAATTTTTCATATATATATATATATATATATACATTTTTTCATTATACTTTAAGTTCTAGGGTACATGTGCACAACATGCAGGTTTGTTACATATGTATACATGTGCCATGCTAGTGTGCTGCACCCATTAACTCGTCATTTACATCAGGTATATCTCCTAATGCTATCCCTCCCCCCTCCCCCCACCCCACAACAAGCCCCGGTGTGTGATGTTCCCCTTCCTGTGTCCAAATGTTCTCATTGTTCAATTCCCACCTATGAGTGAGAACATGCGGTGTTTGGTTTTTGGTCCTTGTGATAGTTTGCTGAGAATTATGGTTTCCAGCTTCATCCATGTCCCTACAAAGGACATGAACTCATTTGTTTTTATGGTTACATAGTATTCCATGGTGTATATGTGCCACATTTTCTTAATCCAGTCTATCATTGGTGGACATTTGGGTTGGTTCCAAGTCTTTACTATTGTGAATAGTGCCACAATAAACATACGTGTGCATGTGTCTTTATAGCAGCATGATTTATAATCCTTTGGGTATATACCCAGTAATGGGATGGATGGGTCAAATGGTATTTCTAGTTCTAGATCCTTGAGGAATCATCACACTGTCTTCCACAATGGTTGAACTAGTTTACAGTCCCACCAACAGTGTAAAAGTGTTACACTTTTCTCCACATCCTCTCCAGCATCTGTTGTTTCCTGATTTTTTAATGATTGCCATTCTAACTGGTGTGAGATGGTATCTCACTGTGGTTTTGATTCGCATTTTTCTGATGGCCAGTGATGATGAGCATTTTTTCATGTGTCTGTTGGCTGCATAAATGTCTTCTTTTGAGAAGTGTCTGTTCATGTCCTTCGCCCATTTGTTGATGGGGTTGTTTGTTTTTTTCTTGTAAATTTGTTTGAGTTCTTTGTAGATTCTGGATATTGCCCTTTGTCAGATGAGTAGATTGTAAAAATTTTTTCCCATTCTGTAGGTTGCCTGTTCACTCTGATGGTAGTTTCTTTTGCTGTGCAGAAGCTCTTTAGTTTAATGAGATCCCATTTGTCAATTTTGGCTTTGGTTGCCATTGCTTTTGGTGTTTTAGATATGAAGTCCTTGTCCATGCCTATGTCCTGAATGGTATTGCCTAGGTTTTCTTCTAGGGTTTTTATGGTTTTAGGTCTAACATTTAAGTCTTTAATCCATCTTGAATTAATTTTTGTATAAGGTATAAAAGGAAGGGATCCAGTTTCAGCTTTCTACATATGGCTAGCCAGTTTTCCCAGCACCATCAAAGATCAGATGGTTGCAGATGTGTGGTATTATTTCTGAGGGCTCTGTTCTGTTCCATTGGTCTATATCTCTGTTTTGGTACCAATATCATGCTGTTTTGGTTACTGTAGCCTTGTAATATAGTTTGAAGTCAGGTAGCGTGATGCCTCCAGCTTTGTAGAAATTTTTCTAAAGGCATTTAGTATTCTTTTAACAAAAGAAATAGAACATAGTTTAACCTTTCTTCAGGTTCTTTGGGCTTCCATAAAATGGAGATAAAATGTTCCCACGGTGCTACGGGCACATAATGACTTTAAAGCACTAGCGAGGTCTATGAAAGCCAGAGTGGTATGAATTGTTCTCAATGATGTCATCTATTATTTTTTATTATTTTACTTTTTACATTTATAAAAATGTGGTGATCTTTAACAATGTCAAATAAATCATGACTTGTATTTTACTACTGATATCGCTGATTTGATGTTCTATCGTATTCCCAACATTTACAATGTCTTTTCCATTGTATTTCAGGAAAATTAAGAGTAGGTACTAGAAGAGGGGGCACCATAATGATGCAAGTAACTTAATGACAAAAACTGAAAAAATAAGCTGAATTGGTTAAAACCATAGAAAAACTATGACTTAAGACTGACACTAAGGAACCATTAAGGAAAATTAAGTAGTTAATATATTTCTGCAAAATATTGAAAAAAACTAATGCAGGAGTACATAAAAAATGTGATGCCAGAAATGGAATGGTAGTTATGCTTCAGAACATTTAAAAGCAAATCAACTTACTAACATATTAAAGCACTAAAACCACATCTTTAGGCCAATAGATGCAAAAGTAAGCACTTGGTAATATTCAGCCCCAATCATAATAACAAACTAGAACTACAAAGAAACTTTCTTAACCTGATAAAGCCCAGCCACCCCAACTCTACAGATGATTCTTAAATATGAAACATTAGAATAATTTCATTTTAAACCAGAAAAAGGATACAACCATACCTGACTTATTCAACATGCTACTAAATGTTCTAACTATTGCAATAAAATAAGGAAAATATTAGAATTGGAAAAGGAACAAAGCTGTCTTTTTTTATAGATGTTATGGTTGTCTACAAAGAAACCCACAATAATTTAGAGATACAATGTTAGAAATTTTTTAAAGTTTAACAAACTTGTTAAACATATAATTAATATACAAAAACAATTTGATTTCTACACAGCAGTGACAATTACTTTTTAAACCACTTTTAAAGATATTCTATACAGCAGCAAAAATGAAGGTAACTGTTAAGGATTTTTAAGATATTTATGGAGAAAATTTTAAAGCTTTACTGAAAAACAGTAAAAAAGACCTAAATAAGTAAATACATACATATGTGTGTGTACACACACACACACACACACACACACACCATGTCCATGGATGGGAGCCTCAAAATTATGAAGATATCAATTCTTTCCAAATTAATCTTTATATTCAGTACTATTCCAGTTAAAGACTAATAAAGCATTTTGAAGTTCTTAGCAAGCTGATTCTAAAATGTATGTGAAAGAACAGTGGTTGAAGAATAGCCAGGACCCTCCTATATAAGAGATAAATATCAAGATGTGTTTAAAATCTGTATAATTAAGTCAAGTCTATGTGGTATTAGCGTTGAAATTGATAATTTAACCAAAGGAATAGGACAGATAACACAGAAATAGACCTATGCATATGTCGAAATTTTATATATGACCAAGGTGTTGCTGCAAATCAATGTAGAAAGAATGAGTGATTCAACAGATGTAGATTATATTGTTTAAGGATATCAGGACAATGCACGTTTACATAGAAAAATTAAAATCTGATCCATACCACATATTGTATATAAAGTAAATTACAAAGACTTCAATGTGAAACCCAAAACTTTAAACATTTTAGCATATAGAAGAATATATTAGTAACTTGAGCATTTTAGACTTTTCTAAATAAGACACAAAGAGCAATAAACATATCAAAAATATTAACATACCTCATTATAATTAAGAACTTCTGTTACAAAAAAATCACAGAGCAATAAGAAAAGACATAGATTATGAAATCATTGCAACTTGTGTAACTGCCAAAAAATTAGTATTCATATATAAAAACAAAAAGCCCTGTATGAAGAAACAACAACCAAGCAGGAAAGTGGGCACATGACATAAGCAGTTAGAAGAAACTTGAAAGACAAACATGAAAGACGCTTGTCATTAGAAACTTTGTAAATGCTCCATAATAAAGCCTATTGTACACCATCTAGATTGTAAAAAATATTTATTTGATAATGTCAACTGATGGCAATGTTGTGAAATAATAAGACCTCTTATGTTCTACTGATAGAAGTGAAAATATGTTTTACCACTTTGCTGTTATTTTGTCAAGCTGAGTATGCTCAAACTGATATGGCAATTCTACCTTTAGCACGTTCCCTAGGGAAACTCTCACACAGGTATATTATGACACAAGAATAAAAATATTCAAGGGAAGATGTCAGGAAGATGGCAGAATAGGAAGTTACCTGCTCATATCCCCCCACAGCAACAAGAACTGTGTACCCATCTACAGACAAAAGTATATCTGTGAGAGCCTTGGGATTCAGGTAGGAGATTATGAAACCCCAGTGGCACCTGAGACCTAGGAAGGTAATTTTGAGAGTGCAGACTGGCACTCATGTGGCTAATCCAATTGTGCTCTTGGTTTTAAGCCTGGAAATGGCCCATTCCCCAAGGGGCTGGGCTACAGGCCCATTTGGCCTTGAGCCTGCAACCAAAACCATCTGCTAAGGGGTCCAGAAGGAATCATATGCACTAGTGCCTCAGCAGCATTGACATAGGTCCCAGCAGTGAATCTGAAAATTATTCTGTGGCTCAACTCAAGCCCTACTCAGTTGAAGCCTCAGCTTAGAGTTACTTACACAAGGACCCAGAGGGAGATTCACTCATATTACACAGCCCAAAAGTCTGAGCCCCCATGATAGGCTTGTGAACCTCTGTCCCACAGCACACTCAAAGGGATCCAATCTCAGCTCTACCTCTCCTGCTGCAGTCAGGGATTAGAAATATTCCCTCTGTGCAGGGACCTGCTTTGGGCCAATGAGATGGGCTTGCCAGCTGCCATCCCACGGCAGATCCTGAGGGGGTCCAGTCTTGGCCCAGCTTCTCCTGGTACAGTTGAAAAACTACCCCATCTATGCAAGAACCTGCTAGGAGACAGGCATTTGTCTGAGCCAATGAGATAGGCTCTCTAACCTCCATCCCACAACAGATCCTGAGGGGCCCCAGTCTCAACTCCAACCTTTCTCACTGAAGTCAGGGAACTATCCTGCCTATGAAGAAACATGCTGGGAGGTGCATCTGTGGCTGGGAGGGCCACCAGGACAGTCTTCCAGGCTCAGGTCTCTGCCCAGCCTTCCCACACAGCCCGAATACCCTCCCCTTGGGTCTCTCCCAGGTCCAGTTGGGCCTAAGAGCTGTGACAAAATTAGAGCCTTCTCAAGACTCATGGCAAACCTGGACTTATGAACTCCCTCTAGTGCTGAGAGAGCTGCAATGATCACAGACTTGAAAAACACAATGGTCAGTCGGCTTAAAATGTCTGGAAGGCCTGCTGAGGAATAACAGGCACAAAAACAGACAGTGAAGACTGAGAAAAAAAATCTTAGTCTCTCAATGTGCAGATATTGTTCCACATTCACAATAATCAAGAACATTCAGTCTGACCTCACCAAATGGACAAATAAGATGCTAGAAACTGACCCTAAAGTAATGGAGATATGCAATTTCTCAGACAAAGAATTTAAAATAGCTATTTTAAGGAAGCTCAACAAACTTTAATTTTAAAAATCTAGAAATTTATGGATAAATTTAACAGAGAGTTTGAAATAATAAAAAACAGAAATATTAAAGCATAAAAATGCAATGAACAAAATGAAAAATGCAATAGGGAGAACCAACACCATAATTGATCAAACAGAAGAAAACACCATTGAGTTCAAAGATAGGCTATTTGAAAATACACAGAGGGGGAAAAGAAGAAAAGAATAAAAAGAAAGCATATGGGATAGATGAATAAACATCAAAAGGGCAAATTTTCAGATGTTTGGAGTTGAAAAGTGAGTTGAAAAAGAAAAAAAGGGTAGAAGCCTTATTCAAAGAAATAACAAATTTTTCTAAACTTGGAAAAGGGCATTAATATGTAGGTAAAGGAAAGTCAAAAGTCTTCAATCAGGTTCAATACAAATAAGAATACTCCAAGACATACTATAATCAAATTCTCAAAGGACAAAAAACAAAGGACTATGAAAGCAGTAAGGAAAAAAAGCAAATGACATATAATAGAAATCCGCTGTGCCTGGCAGTAGACTTCTCAGCAGAAATCTTGCAGACCAGGAGGAATGTGATATTTTCAGAGTGCTGAAAAAAAAAATAAAATGCCAACTAAGAATAGTGTACCCAGATAAATTACCCTTCAGTAATGAAGGAGAGATAAAGACTTTCCCAGACAAACAAAAGCTGAGGGAACTTATGATTACCAGGTCTTTCCTACAACAAATGCTAAAGGGAGTTCTTCAAACCAAAAGAAAAGGATGGTAAAACATTTGGTACTCTAATATTGTAGTTGTGGTATATAAACTAAATATGGTGTATAAAGACTAAATGGTAAAACCATTAAAAATAATAACTAAAATAATTTGTTAAGACATAGGCAATATACAAAATATAAAGTCACATCAAAAATTGAAATAGTAGGGAGAGAATTGAGTTAAAGTCCACAGGTTTTTTGTTTCCTTTCTTTGTGATCAAAGTTAAGGTGTTATTTGTTCGAAATAACTTGCAATACAGTAACATGGGGGTTGCCACTTTCAGCAATGAACAAATGATCCAGACAGAAAATTAACAAAGAAATATCAGAGTTAAACCATAATCTATGCCAAATGGACCTAACAGACATTCACATAACATTCCATGCAAAGCCACAGAATACACATTCTTCTGAACAGTGTATAGAACATTCTCTAAAATAGACAATATTTTATGCCATAAAACAGTCTTACAAATTTTAAAAATCTAAATCATATCCAGTATCCTTTCTGACCATAATGAAATAAAACTGGAAATCATTAACAGAAGAAACTTTGGAAAATATAAGGATACATGGAAATTAAACAACATGCTTCTAAACAACTGAAGGCCTAATGAAGAAAATTTTTTTAAAGAAATGTTTTTAACTCTTGAGACATAGAAAATGAAAACACAATATGCCAAAACCTATGAGATACAGCAAAATAAGTTCTAAGAGGGAAGCTTATAGCAATAAACACCAACATCAAAAAAGTACAAAAATCTCAAATAAACAACCTAACATTGCAGCTCAAAGAACTAGAAAAACAGGAACAAACTAATTTGAAGTTAGTAAAAGGAAAGAAGTAATAAGGATTACAGAAGAAATAAATTAAAGAAAATACAAAAGAGCAACAAAATAAAAACTTGTTTTATTAAAAAGACAAAATTGGCAAACTTTAGACTAAAAGAGAGATGACTCATAAAATCAGAGATGAAAAAGGAGACATTACAACTGATACCACAGAAATACAAAATCATTAGAGTCTATTATGAGCAACTATCCACCAACAAATTGGAAAATTCAGAAGTAGATAAATTTCTGGACACACACAACTTTTTAAGATTGAATCACAAAGAAATAGAAAATCTGAACAGACCAATAATGAGTAATGATATCAGAACAGTAATTAAAAAGTCCTCCATCAAAGAAAAGCCCAGGGCCTAATGGTTCACTGCTGAATTTTACTAAACACATAAAGAAGAACAAATACAAATTTTACTCATACTATTACAAAACACTGAAGTGCAGGAAATTCTTTCAAACTTATTCTGTGAGTTCAGCATTACCGAGATACCAAACCCAAAAAAGGACATAACAAAAAAAGAAAACTACAGGCCAATAACCTTAATGAACATAAATGCAAAAATTATCAGCAAAATAGTAGCAAACTGAATCCAACAGCACATCAGAAATATCATAATCATGATCAAATGGAAATCATCCCAGGGATGCAAGGATGGTTTAACATATGCAAATGAATAAGCATGATACATCACATTAACAGAATGAAGAACAAAAACCATATGATCATTTCAACAGATGCAGAAAAAGCATTTGATAAAACTCAACATCTGTTCATGATAAAGACTTTAAACAAATTACAGAAAAAACTTACTTCAGTACAATAAAGGCATATATGACAATCCCACAGCTAAAATACTGAATGGGGAAAGTTGAAATTTTTTCCTCCAAGATCTGGAATAAGACAAGGATACCCACTTTCACCACTTCTATTCAACATAGTACTGGAAGTCCTAGCCAGAGCAATTAGACTAGAGAATAAAATAAAAGGCATCTAAATTGGAAATAAGGAAGTCAAATTATCCCTGTTTCCAGATGACTTAATCTTATGTCAAAGATTATGAAACTCTGTAGGGTGAAAACCCTACAAACTCCATCCAAAAAAACTGTTAGTAGTAATAAATTCAGTAAGATCACAGGTTACAAAGTTAACATACAAAAATAAGTAGCATTTCTGTATGCCAGTAGCAAACTGTCTGAAAAAGAAATTAATTCATTTACAACAGCTACTAAAAAATACCTAGGAATAAATTTAATCAAAAAAGGTAAAAATATCTATACTAAAAACTATAAAATACTGATAAAAAAATTAAAGAGGAAACAAATAAAAAGTTATTCTGTGTTCATGAATGAGAAGAATTAATACTGTTAAAATGTCCATACTACCCTAGGCAATCTACAAATTCAATGCAATCCATATCAAAATACTAGTGACATTTTTCACTGTAGTAGAAAATGTATAGAATCACGAAATGTCCCATACAGCCAAAGCAATCTTCAGCAAAAAGAACAAAGCTGGAGCCATCACCCTACTTAACTTCAAAATGTAATGCAAACCAATAGTAACCAAATTAGCACAGTACTGCATAGAAACAGACATATAAACCAGTGGAACAGAAGATGGAATCCAGAAATAAATTCACACATTACAACCGATTTTTTTAAAAGGCACCCAGAACATACATTAGAAAAGGATCATCTCTTCAATTAATGATGCTGAGAAAACTGGATATTCATATACAGAAGAATAAAACTGGACTCCTATGTATCACTATTTTTAAAAAATCAACTCAAAATGGATTAAAGACTTAAAGATAAGACATAAAAATATAAAACCACTAGAAGAAAACAGGAGAAATACTTCATGACATTGGCCTGGTCAAGGATTGTTATAGATAAGACCTCAAAAGCACAGATAATAAAAGCAAAAAAAGACAAGTGGTATTACACCAAACTAAAAAGCTTCTGCATAACAAAGGAAACCACTAACAGGTGAAGAGACAACCTAAAGAATGGGATAAAATATTTGAAACTATGTCTCTGACAAGGGGTTAATATCCAGAATATAAAAGAAACTCAATAGAAAAAAAATTATTTAAAAAATGGGCAAAAGTTCCAAAGAGAAGACATACAAAATGGCCAATAGGTATATTTTTTAAATGCCCAACTTCACTAATCATCAGGGAAATGCAAATCAAAATCACAATAATTCTCACCCTAGTGAGAATGGCTATTATCAAAAAGATAAAAAATAACAAATGCGGGTGAAAATATGGAGAAAGGCAAACTCATACACCGTCAGGGGGATGCAAATTACTATAGCCATTATGGAGATTAGTATGAATGTTCTCCCAAAAAATGAAAAATAGAACTACCAAATGATCCAGCAATCACACTATTAGGTAAATATCCAAAGGAATTGAAATCTCTTTCAAAGAGATATTCTGCACTCCCATGTTTATTGCATCTCTATTTACAACAGTCAAGATATAGAATCAACTTAAATGTCCATCAATGGATGAATGTATTAAAAGATGGTCTATTTGCACAATAAAATACGCTTCAGCCATAAAAAATTAATGAAATCCTGTCATTTGTGGCAATATGAATGAGCCTGGAGGTCATGATGTTAAGTGAAATAAGCCAGGCAAAGAAAGACAAATATTGCATGATCTCACTCATATGTGAAATCTTAAAAAATTGGTCTCGTAGAATTAGAGAGTAGAATAGTGTTTACTAGAGTTAGAGAGGGGAGGAGGAACAGGGGATTGGGAGGAGTTGGTCAACAAATACAAAGTTACAGTTAGGAGGAATAAGTTCTGGCATTCCATTTTACAATAGAGTGGCTATAGTTAACAGTGATGTATTGTACATTTCAAAATATCTGGAAGAGAGGATTTTGAATGTTTTCACCACAAATAAATGACATGTGTTTGAGGTGATGGATATACTAATTACCCTAATTCAATCGTTACACATTGTATGCATATACCGAAACATCACACCATACCCCATAAATATGTACAATTATTATGTGTCAAATACAAGCAAAATAAAACTTTTTAAATTGTCAAATAAGTATTATTTTTGACAGCAAACAGCTGAATATCTAGATGCCAATTAACAAGAGAATGGATTAATAATTATACTACACGCAAAATACATTATACAGTAGTGAAAATGATAAACTCCAATTACATCAACAACATAAATGAATATATGTGTGTATACATATATATGTATACATATAAATATAAATATATATGTATACACATAAATATATTTATATATGTATACAAACACACACAGACACACACATATATATATACACCCAAATATATAAAGCATGATTTGCATGCCAGGTACTATTCTAAGTTGTTTACAAATATTAACTCATTTAATTATTATAATAATACAGCAAGTTAAATATTATTATTACCCTCATTTTACAGAAGAGGACATTGGGTACAGAAAGAGTATGTAACTAATTAAATGTTTAAGTCTAGAAGACTGCTTATAGCTTGATACCCTATTTTAAATAAACTAGAAAGCAAAAAAAAAACCCTCAAGATTATATGTTTAGGGTTATATATGTAATAAAACATTTTTCAAAGAACATATGAATATATATGCTCAAAATTTAGGAAAGTAGTTATCTCTGGTTGTTTAATAGACCTGTACACGGGAAGTAGCTTCAAGAGTATTGGTAATATTCTAGCTCTTGTGACAGATGCTAGACTCACTGTTGGCCATTATATTGGTATGCTTTACAAGTTATATATATAGACACACACACACATATATACATACATACATATATAAGTATGGGTGTATATATATGTTCATAATTATCATATATTATATATTTATAATTATCATATATAATAGACATGACATATATTTTTGCTTGTATCAAAATTATATTCTAAGAAATTTAGTGCCTGTATTTTGTGACACTTAAGTGAACTGCGCAGAGGATTATTTTGATTATATTCTTGTTATCAGTTGCACTTTAAAGAGATGGGATTGCTGTATAGCTGACTTCTAGAGAGACAAGGCAAAACTATAATTATTTTTGAGAGAGAGAGAGAGAGTGTGTGTGTGTGTGTGTATAGTCATTCTGAAGATAAATCAGCTTCAAACTTATGGTTATAGGGGAATGAATGGTCAAAATCTGCTCTTTTCTTTTTGGCACACCAAATTAAGAACCAATTCAACCATAAGAAATATAAATTAGCAGCTTCTACCTCATTGCCCTTAAACTAATATACCTACCTTATTTTGAGAATTGGGATAATAATGGTAATAAAATTAGCAATGGCAACTTCTAGTTTCAGCCCCAGCATGTAAAGACCTGGGAAGTTGGTACATTTGTCCTTACAAGAGAAAGCTGGACATGCTAAAAATCACTGTCTTTTCTTGAACTCAGCAGAGGACTGAGTTTGCAGGGCAAACTCTAACTCCAAAACCTGGACTGGCAAGTTCATTCAGAAGGGAACATTCAAGATCTATTTACCTAGAGCAGAAGCTGCTAGAACCATAAATCAGCAGAAACACTTAGATGATAATTTTGATGAACTATTGGTAGCTGAGTGTGGACTAGCACACGAGTGAGAAAATCTGAAGATCACAGTCTAAATGGTTTATTAAATGTTCATAGATTAACCTCCAAGCAACCCACCAGATTCTCATAGTCAAGATCCACAAAAGATCCCTTTGTGGGAAGGGTTTGAGATGGAAGAAAAGAAGAATCACTGTGGAATGCACCCACAGCTTTCCCCATAACAAAGACCTACACTCTAGGAAAAAATACTTTTCCAGAGCTTCATCCAAGTTGAGGAAGAGCATTCCTCTCACTCTAGCACATACTTTACTACTTTACTTCCTGTCACACTTCAAGTGTAAAGTATTTTTAAAAGCTATCCTAAACTACCAGAAAAACATTTATGAAGGTCAGAAGTCCAGACCCACAGGCCTAGTGAAAGACTGAGATTTAATCATAAGATGATAGAATATTTTCTTTTTCCTCAACTGACCACCACACCAACAGGGATCCTGAGAAACACAGTGGATTACAGCTGAAAGAGCTGCAAGATGTGGACTCTGGCTGAAAAGGAGTACTTAAGGCATCCCAAAGTCAAGAGGAGAGACAATAACAAGGACACTAGAGGAGTTTGAAGCCTCTGGCATCTAGAGCTATGGCAAACATTGAACACAGAAAAAATTACAGCCAGATTCCCATAAATCCTCACAAAACAGCATGTCCCTGTTTCAACAAAAAAAATTACAAGGCATGCAAACGGATTTTAAAAACAAAAAACTTTGAAGAGACAAAGCAAGCATCAGAACCAGACCTAGTTATGACACAGATGTCAGGATTATCAGATACAAAATGTAAAATAAATATAATTAATATGTTAAAGGCTCTAATGGAAAAGTAAATAGTATCCAAAAACAGATGGGGAATATAAGTAGAGAGATGAAAACACTAAAAGATAATCAAAAGGGAATGTGAGAAATAGAAAACATGTTATAAATTAAAAATACCTTTAATGGGCTTCTTGGTAGGCCATACACAGCCATAGAAAGAATCACTGAAGGTGAAGATAGGCTAATAGAAACCTCCCACACTGACATTCAAAGAGAAGAAAGAAAGAAACAGATAGGATAGGACAGGACAGGACGGGACGGGACGTGAAGGGAAAAGAAGAGGAGAGGAGAGGAGAGGAAAGGGAGAGAACAAAACAACGAACTAGAATAAAACACCCAAAAAATGTAGAAAAATTTAGAAGATATATATGTGTGTAATGAAAATATTAGAAGGGGATAAAGAGAAAAAAGAACAGAAGAAATGTTTGACAAATCATCACTGGGAACTTTCCAAAATTAAATAAAGACACCATACAATAGATGAGGCAATCTCAGAAGATACCAGGCAGGACAAATAACAAACAAACAAAAACTGCACTATATTCAGACTGCTGTAAACCAGACAATAAGAAAATTTTAAAGAAGTTAGAGTAGAAAGTATCTTATCTACACATGAACCAGGATAAAAATTACAGTGAATTTTTCATCAGAAATTATGCAAGCAAGAAAGATGGCATACTGAAATATTTAAAGTGTTAAAAGAAAAAATACACTAACTTAAAATTCTGTATTCAGTGAAATTATACTTCAGAAATGAAGGAGACATAAAAATCTTCTTAAACAAACAAAAATGGAAGAAATGTATTCTCAGTACACCTGCCCTGAAAAAAACTTTAAAATTTCTTCAGGGAGAAGGAAAATGATATAGTAAAAAACAAACAAACAAACAAACAAAAAAACCCTCAGGTCTGCATAACACAATAAGCATCAAGGAGAAAATAAATAAAGGTAAAATAAAAGTTTTTAATTATTTTGATTCTTAATCTACCTAAAAGTTAACTCTTAAAAAGTAATGATACAAACAGGTGGTTATAGCATATGAGTAAGTAAAATAAATTACCATAATGTCAATAATGGATGAAAATAAGGAATTGGGAATATTCTGCTATAGGAGAACAACACTGCATCTGAAGTGGCAGAAGTATTATTTGGAAGTGGACTTAGATTCATTGAAAATGTATATTGCAAAGTCCAGGGTAACCACTGACTTTTTTAAAAGAAATATGATTATATGCTAAGAGACAACATACAATCATTTTACATGCTCAAGAGTGAGAAAACAGATTTAAAAGAAACCAATACAATAGTTACAAATATGATAGATGATAATCCATTTACATCAATAATCATTTTAAGTATGAATGGTCTAAAGTTACCAATTAAAAGACAGAGATTGTCAGAAGAAATTTTTTGAAAGGACCAACTATATGTTGCTACAATAAACCCACTTTAAATACAAACACTAAAATAGATTAGAGGGAATGAAAAAAGGTATATTACATTAACATTAATTAAAAGTAAGCTGAAGTAACTATCTTAAATTTAGTGAAACCAGAACTGTATTAAGAACAAGCAAAATTATTAGAGATAAAAAGGAGCATTCTATACTGATAAAGGAGTCCATTCTCCAAGAAGACATAGCAATCCTAAATGTATATGAACAACAGAGTGCCAAAAACTGATATAACTGAAAAGTAGACAAATCCACTACTATAGTTGGAGACTTCCAACATTCATCTTCAAGCAATTGAGAGATCAAACAAGAAGGTAATCAGTCAGGCTACAGTAAAATTAAACACTATAAATCAACCAGATAATTGGCTTTTCTAGACTATTTTATCCAACAACAGCAGAATGTACATTCTACTCACACTCAAATGGAACATTCACCCAGATAGAGCACATTTTGGGCCATAAGACTTACCTTAACAAACTTAAAATAATAGAAACCACACAAAGTATGTGCCTATATTACAATGAAAATAAATTAGAAATTCATAACAGAAAAATATCTGGAAAATCCACAAATATTTGGAAATTAAATAGCACACTCCTACATAGTACACAGGTTAAAAAAAAAGTCAAGATTAATTAAGATGTTTTTAACTAAATGAAAATACAACTTATAAAATTTTGTGAGATGCAGAGAAAGCAGTACTTGGAGGAAATTTATGGCATTAAGTATATATATTTAAAAAGAAAAAAGATACAAAAATCAATAACCTGAGCTTCTATCTTAGGAAAATAGAGAAAGAAGAGAGCAATTCAAGCCAAGGCAAGCAGAAGGAAAGAAATGATAAAAATTAGAGTAGAAACCAATAAAATTGAAAATAGAAGAAAATTATAAAACTAAAAATCAGTTCTAATTCATCTAAATTAGGTATGCATCAGACTGTAGGTATAATCCATTTTGAGGCACATTTCTGTGCCTTTTTTGTGAACCTGTGGAATACAAAAAAAAAGCTATCTGCTCTCAAAAGATAATAAGAAAGGAACCTTGCAAAAAATAAAAAATAAAAAAAGGTGTCCCCATTTCCAAGCAATTTTGAAACCCAGGCAGGAAAACTCCACTTAGTTTCAAGGCTTGGGAATAACCTTTTGTGATTTTCAGCTCTGCCCTCTAGGATCTTGGCTCGGCTTCCTGGATTTGAGGATATGCCCAATGAGTCATGCTTTCATTTTCATGAAAGTTGGCATATGTTTACAGTTGAGTGACTTTATCAGCAGTTTCTTCACTGTAAATTTTTGAGGTTCAACAGCTTTTTTTTCATTTGTATTCCCTCTGTCTCTTTCAAGTCAAGGTAGTAGTGTTTCTACTGGTATAAAATTCTAAAAACTTTGTGTGTCTCCTGTGTATGTCATGGAGATTTACTCCAGTAAACAAGAGAATCTTTCACAAATCTTTCCTGAATATTCTTATTTATATTTCTGGTATCTAGTGAGGAGGTCCATGAGTCACATGACTAATCTCTTCAAAGAGCCCTGTATGGGACTGGATACTAATCTTTAGAGGCACAAGCAAAAGGTTGTCCAGCAATGTCTTTGGTTTTCTCTCCAAAGTATAGTGAATTACCTAATTGTGGGTAATTTGAAATGTTGACAGGCTGGAAATTTCCCAAATCATCAAGCACTGGCTCCTTCTTGCTGAACAATTCTTCCCTCAACCTATATTTTTCCCCTCACATTTTACTATTAGCAGCAGGAAGAGACAAGACACACCTTCAATACTTTTCTTGGAAATCTCTTTAGTTAAATATGTAAGTTCATTATTTACAAATTTGCCTTTTCACATAACTACAAGACAAGATTCAACTAAGCTTTCTGCCACTATATAACTAGGATTCCCTTTCTTCAAGTTTCAAATAAGTTGTTCTTCCTTTCCATCTGAGCCCTCACTGGCAGGAACATTAACACCCATATTTCTAGCAACAGTTTCTTCATGAAGATTTAGGTATTCTTTAAGACTACATATGCTTTTTTTCTACCATGTTCCTCACTTCTTTCTGAGTTCTCACTAGCAGAGTCATTAACATACATATTTCTACTAACAGTTTCTTTAAAGCAATCTCAGCTTTTCCCATCATCATCTAAATTATTACAGCCTCTGCCCATTGCCCAATTGCCAGCACATTTCCCCATTTTTAGGTATTTGTTACAGCAACACCCCACTTGCAGATAATAAAATCTGTATTAATTTTATATTGTTGCTATAATAAATTACCACAAACTTAGTGGTTTAAAGCAAGACAAATTTATTTTCTTACAGTTCCAATGGTCAGAAGTTCAGAATGGGTCTCAATGGGTTTAAGATTAAGGTTTTAATGTCAGCAGCGATGTGTTCCTTTCTGGAGTTTTCCTATGATTTTTAAAACCATCAATGGCCACTCAAGTGTTTCTCATATCACATTACTCTGAAGAGATCCTTCTTCCTCTTACACATTTAAGGACCCTTGCCATTATATTGGGCCCAAATAATCCAGGATAACCGCCTCATCTTAAGGTCGATGACTAGCAACCCTCACTTCATTTGCTACTTCAATTCCTTGTTTCTATGTAACAAAACATAGTCACAGGTTCCAGGGATTATAATGTGGAAATTTGAGGGAGGCCATTATTCTACCTGCTACAGTCATTTAAACACACACACATACATACACACACACACACACACACAAGGAAAGCCTAAGAAATCATTGCATCCAAGAGGTGCTAAAGGAGACTATGATATTCTGATACTGTCCTTGAACAGAAAAAGGACATTGGGTAAAAACTAAAGAAACCTGAATAAATTATGGCCTTTAGTTAATAATAATGTATCACTATTGTTTTATCAATTGTAATAAATGTACCACACTAATGTAAGATGTTAATAATATGGAAAATTGCATCAGGAGTATACGGGAACTCTCTGCCTTAACCCAGGTCCTTTTGCCAGGCAATACCAGAGATAGGAATTCCTTTTCCTGTGTATGAGATACATGAGCACATTGAAAGCTCTTGCAATAAAATGAAAAAAAAAAAAAAAACTCGGGGAGTATGCTCTTGA
This sequence comes from Homo sapiens, assembly GCF_000001405.40. Classification (NCBI taxonomy): domain Eukaryota; kingdom Metazoa; phylum Chordata; class Mammalia; order Primates; family Hominidae; genus Homo; species Homo sapiens. The sequence goes on from NC_000001.11 coordinate 177,507,972, forward strand.
CAATGAAAAAATAAACTATGGGCTTTAACACTATTAGCAGAAAAAATGAGACTTGAATTCCAGTGAAGGGTTCCTGAGGTTTCATCAACTGTTTCATTTTATGTTGGAGAGAAAGAGAGAGAAGGAAAGCAGCTGAGTTTATTTTCATGGGAAGCCAGGGGAGTCACAAGGGTACGTGGGCCAGATGTGTTTACAGGTGAAGCCAGCTGTGTGAGAAACAAGTCCACAAGTAGATTTTGTACTGACTCTAATAAGAAAATGCTTCAAGAAAAATAATTAAGAATTATGGGCTGATTAAAATTTTGGCCATCAAAAAGAATCAATGAACGCACATTCAGGCCTCCAGCCTTGCATCCATTGTCACCCTGCTTGTATCCAGATCTTCCTAAGCAACTCCTACTCATGCTGGAAGATTCTGCTCAAATGTCACCTCCCCTGAAAATCTATCCCCAAGCTGACTTATATGCTCTGCCTCTTAAAATTTCACAGCTTCTAATACCCATTTCTATTATAACTAATCACATTCCATTTAATTTTTTATTTTCGTCTTTGTTATTAAAGTCTGTTTCCTCATCACCACCTACACACCCCACACCCCACCATTCCTAAACCTTAGGGCAGAGATTTTGTTTGAATCAGAAACAAAAATTGTGCCTCTAGCACCTTGCATAGTCCCTGGCATTAAATACTGGGAAGCAGATAGTATGAATAAATGAAAGAAAGAAGGAAGAAAGGAAGAGAGAAAGGAGAATGTGGGGGAAGGAGAGAGAGAGACCAAAAGGAAGCAAACCTACTAAAGGATTCCCTTTCTTCCAGTTTCAAATACGTTGTTCCTTTTTGCCATCTGAGCTCTCATATCCTTTTAAGTCCTAAAGGAAGCAAATCTACTGAAGCTCAATAAACCCTGTGTTGTTCTTAGTTTTGTTCCATGATCTGCAAGAGCCTAACAAATTAGTTTTTTTGAAACATGCTACTCTCAGCTCTGTTTATTTCAGCCAACCTATTCACATATTGCAGGGCCTATTTCCAGTGAGACTCTTCTCATGTCCTCTTACTTCCCTTAAGCTCCCTAATGCATGGCAGCCCCCCAATGGTTACTTGAGTAATGCAAGCTTATGATTTATATTCCAGCTACCTTCTGGAAGGGGCTGTGGTCCAGCTGCACATTTGTATATTCATTGAGCTGTACTCCCAAGTCCACAGCCTCCTGACAGCTGCAGATGGCAAAGCCATTTTTCATAAGGTGCATGCGAGGAGAAGAGAGACAGGCTTAAACATCACCTGGAGGAGACAACAGCTTTGGAGCAACCAAGAGAGTGAGGATTAATAGAGAATTAAAAACTGAATAGGAAGCAGATAGTATCTTCTCATTCTATTGACATCCATTTAAAGCTACACTACAGTTTCACCATTATCAATAACCATTATACTATTACACACTGTTCAGAGTATTCTAAGTACCCTGGAACTTTATCCAGGAGCTTACAAGCACTGGCATTGAACTTTAGCTCTCTTTTCTCTCTCTGTCTCTCTCTCTCTCACACACACACACACACACACCTACCTTTCAAGTATGATCTTGCTGATCATAAGCTCAGGAGTGAATAGTTCAAGAACAAAAAATAACAAGAAGTTGAAATGGCTGATGGGTGGCCGCATATGTCTTCTTTTGAGAAGTGTCTGTTCATATCCTTCGCCCAGTTTTTGATGGGGTTGTTTTTTCTTGTAAATTTGTTTAAGTTCCTTGTAGATTCTGGATATTAGGTCTTCGTCAGATGGATAGATTGCAAAAATTTTCTCCCATTCTGTAGGTTTCCTGTTCAATTTGATGATAGTGTCTTTTGCTGTGCAGAAGCTCTTTAGTTTAATTAGATTCCATTTGTCAATTTTGGCTTTTGTTGCAATTGCTTTTGGCATTTTAGTCATAAAGTCTTAGCCCATGCCTATGTGCTGAATGGTATTACCTAGGTTTTCTTCTAGGGTTTTTATGGTTTTAGGTTTTACATTTAAGTCTTTAATCCATCTTAAATTAATTTTTGTATCAGGTATAAGGAAGAGGTTCAGTTTCAGTTTTTTGCATATGGCTAGCCAGTTTTCCCAGCACCATTTATTAAATAGGGAATCCTTTCCCCATTGCTTGTTTTTGTCAGGTTTGTCAAAGATCACATGGTTGTAGATGTGCGGTGTTATTTCTGAGGTCTCTGTTCTGTTCCATTGGTCTATAAATCTGTTTTGGTTGCAGTACCATGCTGTTTTTGGTTACTGTAACCTTGTAGTATGGTTTGAAGTCAGGTAGCGTGATGCCTCCAGCTTTGTTCTTTTTGTTTAGGATTGTCTTGGCTATACATATAAAAAAACTCATCATCATTTGTCATTAGACTAATGCAAATCAAAACCACAATGAGATACCGTCTCACACCAGTTAGAATGGCAATTATTAAAAAGTCAGGAAACAACAGATGCTGGTAAGGCTGTGAAGAAATAGGACTGCTTTTACACTGTTGATGGGAGTGTAAGTTACTTCAACCATTGTGGAAGACAGTGTGGTGATTCCTCAAGGATCTAGAACCAGAAATACCATTTGACCGAGCAATCCCATTACTGGATATATACCCAAAAGATTATAAATCATTCTGCTATAGAAACATGCACATGTATGTTTATTGCAGCACTATTTACAATAGCAAAGACTTGGAACCAACCCAAATGCCCATCAATGATAGACTGGATAAAGAAAATGTGGCACATATACACCATAGAATACTACGCAGCCGCAAAAAAGAATGAGTTCATGTCCTTTGCAGGGACATGGATGAAGCTGGAAACCATCATTCTCAGCAAACTAACACAGGAGCAGAAAACCAAACACCGCATGTTCTCATTCATAAGTGGAAGTTGAACAATGAGAACACAGGGACACAGGGAGGGGAACATCACACACCAGGGCCTGTCATGGGGTTGGGGGCAAGGGGAGAGAGAACATTAGGACAAACATCTAATGCATGCAGGGCTTAAAACCTAGATGACGAGTTGATAGGTGCAGCAAACCACCATGGCACATGCATACCTATGTAACAAACCTGCACGTTCTGCACATGTATCCCAGAACTTGAAGTAAAATAAAATAAATAAAAAAGAAATGGCTGAAGGTATATAGGAAGCACGTTTAAAAAAGAAAAGGGTTAGAAACCTAGTATTCTTGCCAAGAGTTAAGTTTACTCAGGAAGAATTACCAATGGGTCTCGGCTTTCATCTCATAACAGCAGCAGTAGTTGACTCATCAAAAACAAAACGTGGCCAGCAGAAGAGGGAATCAGTGAATCTACAGCAACATTTCTCCCAACCTGAATCAAGAGGTATATTTTTACTGATAAGTGATCTTTCTTAAGAAAGAAACTGATGGGCCACCTCTACCTCGGTGGTTCTCTCTTGTCACCCTATAGTTTGTACTCCACATTTTGGCCCCTGCAATAGGACTCACTTGTGCTATTTTCTGTCTTCCCTTCATACATCTGATCTCTGGAATTATACTCTTTTAGGACCAAAACTGTTTCATTTTTTAAATCCAGTATTATTCAAAGTGACAGTGGGCAGGAACTTGAACCTCATCAAATAACTTTCTTTCTCATAAAATATTCGGGTAATAATAAACACACTTTGTTTTCTTCATAATGAAGCATATCATCATTATATTTTAAAGTGAATTTTCTTTTGATTCATTACTTTAAACTGGCTTGGGTATCTTTCAATTTTAATGTAATTCCTACTGACAAATTGGCTTAAATCCTGGGATCTGCAACTTTTTCTTACCTCATTTTTCCCTCCTTTCTTATCTTCTTATCTCTTGTACTCATAAATTAGACTGCTCCAGCAGATTGAAGGAGATTTGCTATTCCAGATACTACTGAGATAGAACACATTTATTTTATTTAACTATAGGAGAAATAGAGACGGAATATGAGAGAAGCTACATTATCTGGAGTAATGCTGGAGGACCAGGCTTTTTTCCAGACCTGGTCAGGACTTCATTCACGAGGGCTGGTAATGGTGCCACACAGGCCGCTGTATCTTTTGTACTACAAAGCCACATTATAAAAAGCCATCGACCCAGTACAGGAAGACTCCACTGTTGAACGCAGGTTGAGATATTTGATTACAGTAATATATATACAAAAAATGTATTTAATAAGATATTCCAATAAAATGAATCTTAATGAGGCAGGAAAAAAGCTTTCTTCTATCAGAGGAGAAATTTAGAGATTGAAAATAAAGTACTTGGGAGTGGCATTTTGATCACATATGACTCAGGTACCATTTTCCACCAATGTGATGGCCCTTTGGAAAGAAAGTTTCAAAAAGGAGCCAAATGCCCCTTACAAAATACTATCAAGCTTTTTGTTTTTCAAGACATAAGATTAAAGCCATTTCAATGAGAGGAATATGCTTTCTTTTTTCAGGGACTAAACTGATTTCTTCAACTCTCTGTACCAAGAAATGTTTGTGTTTAGGTAACTCGGAAAGAAACTGATCTCAGTCCTCAGTAGTGGAGAGATAGAACTGGAATTGAAGCTTCATCTATCTTTCTCACCATCACCCCATTCAAAGAACCAACCTGTTCCTCTTTACAGGCAACAAATCCCAAGGCAGAGGGAAGGATCTACTTTTTTTAACCCACCTGAAATCTAGAATGCCAATGTTTCCAAAACACAAGTAGACATACAGGGTTCAGATTATTTTCTCATGGGTTTCCTGAAAGAGCAGATTGGAAACCCCGTATCTGAGGAGAAAGCCCTAACAGTGGTGTATAAAGAGGACAATAGAGAATTGAAGAAATAGAGAGGGATCCAAAGAGGAGGTGTGTTCATGTGGATCTCCCTCCAAAGAATGCCTAAACTATGAGGCAGAGTTCCCCTACCGCTTATGTGGTATAAGAGAATGGCTTTGTGAGGCTGAGTCCCAATTCTCCATCCTCTTACTCTGGACTATCTCAGAATGCCTCCTCATCCCTCAAGCAAAAAGTTGCCTAAACTTCCATCAGAGTTCTAGTGTATGCAATGTGGAGAAGGCAGAACCACCATATTTAGGAATGGGGCAGGACCCTAATCACAATGGGCACTCTGGCAGACATGGGACTGATGAGGGAGCATGGGGATTGTCAGCGGCCTCTTCCTGTGAATCACAAGGTGGTAAGGACTACAGACTACCTGCGGAAGACTTTACATGCATAACATCTACCATAAAGCCAATGAGGTATTTTAGATCAACCACTATCCTTGCCCTTGTTTAATCCAGCCTAGACACTGACACCAGGGAGATTTTTCTACTATACACATCTGATCATGTCACTCTCCTGCTCAAGATTATCCTCTGACTCCTCATTTCCCTAAGAAAATAGTCTAAATTCCTTAAAATATCCTGGAAAACCTCATTATTTGGCTATAGCCAAGTTCCCTTGCTATACTCAATGCATATTTGGTTAATTATATTAAATGACTTGGCAAGGTCACACCATTGGCAAATGGGACAAGGGATCCAAAGTCCTTGGATTCCATGTTCAGTGCTTCCTTCATTGCTCTAGCTCACCCATGCCATCATATTAGGAGAAACCTAATGGTCACAAGAATCTAAAAGCAATGAACAGCACAGTGTTCTTAGTCATTTTCACATACTGAGGTATCGTCTCATCTCTGCTTGCTTCAATTTAATGTTTTTGTGGCAAGCTAATGAAAGTCACCATCACCAGTTGAAAGTTGGTCAATTAGACAGAGGTAGCTTCAAGATCCCTATGAGTTCCTCGAGGAAGAGGCTAGTTCCAGGGTGATTAAGTATTAATTAGAACTGCTGCAAAGAAAGGAATATTAAACGGCTACCCTAGAAGGGTCAATTTTGTCTGCAACCAATTTCTGCACAGCACAAATTTTGCCTAACTTGGGCTCTTTTCAAGTTTTTTTATTTCTAAGTAAGGTATTTTAAAGCCTTGTTTGTTGTTTACCTGTCTAGGTGAGTGAGAGAATATAATCTATTTAGATGTGCCCAGCACATAAATTATTGAATCACTTTCTTGCCCTAATTAAATTAAAATTGAAATTTTCTACTGACCTTTAAATATAAAGAAGAGAGGAGAAGTTGAAAGAATCTACGAGACACAACTAATTTCAACCAACATCCCAGGACAGGGTAGACCTAGAAAACTCTTCCCATTTTTTTTTTCTGATTTCCAGTTTATTTCACAGAACTCTTGGACTTATTCCCATGCCATTCACTGTCAGGGAACCTGCTTTAGTGAAAAGAGAAGGAACTGCATATAGCAGACCCACAGAAGCTCAGCATCTCATTCTCAGGACTTGCTGGGACTGTTTTCAGCTCTTTGACCCAAGACAAGGAGAAAGGAGTGTCTGCATGCTCCCTGGAGGTGTGATAATGCAGTTATAAGTCAGCAGGAGTTGCAGATTGCTGCTGTGAAGGTTTTTGTGAAAGAGCCTGGAGGTGTCTGCTGCATGTCTCACTAGTTTTCTCTCTCTTAAAGAAGTTGGCATAAAGTCATTCAATTACTGAGTGTTAAGTGGACACCTAATTATGTCAAGTCAGTGAACTCCAGGCTCCCAGAAGCTGTTAGAGTTTCTAGTTCTAGTTTTTAATCCCTCCTTATAACATTCATTTTGCCTTTCTCTCGTTACCCTGAACAATGTGAATCTTTTAGGCTGCCTTTTTAAGAACAGGAAAAAATAGAAACTCAATGGAATGATATAATGTTAAATGTTATATGATATAATGAAAATATTCTTCAAAGTTTTCAAAAATTAATTTTTCAAAGGCTACAATATGTGACACAGTGGAAGAGTGAGAGAGCTCTGGAATATAAAATATCCAGGCTCAAACTCCATCTTTACCGTTTGCCAGCCATGTGTCTTAAACAAATTACTCAACTTCTCTGAGCCTTAGTTTCTGGAAGATGGATCTCAAAAAATGGGAAGGTTTATCTTTTCTGTCTTTCCAATAAATTTGGAATTCCTAAAGGCTCATTGCTAAGCCTTCTTTTCTTATTTATATTTTCTTCTTTGATTATCTGAACCATACCTATGGCTTTAATTCTCATTTTCCACAGGTGCCTCATAAATTTCTATCTTTGACAGAGATCTCTCCTCTGATTTGCTGGTATATAGCTGATAACTCCACTTGGATGCCACAGATGAAACCCTAATTCAGTGTCTCCACTAGGCAACATAGTCCTATTCCACCATTCTCTATGTTAGGGAATCGCTTCACCATTTATATCATTCCACAAGTCAAAAACTTTGGCATTATCATTGATTACTTTCTCACCTCATCTCCAACACTCAATCCATCAGCAACTTCTACCCAATTTACCTCCTAACATTTATTGAACAGGTACTATTTTCTCCATTTCCTTGGATGCTACACTGTGACAAACTACCATCATTTCTAACCACAGTATTCTCCTAACAGGTCTCCATATTCATAATTGATACCTTTCTCCAATCCATTTCCTTTCTAACATCCAAAGTGATCTTGACAAACAAAAATGTAATCCTGTTATGGGCATCCTGTTATGGGCACAGTTAAGTGACTATTCATTGCTCTCATGTTGAAGATCAGTATACCTTCTAAGACCCACAAGTTCTGATCTCTGCTTATTTCTCAGGCTTTAGTTTATACTTTCCTCTCCATGACTCTGACCTCTAGTTTCAATGGACATTTTATAGTTTTTAAGTGGGTCCCGATTCTTCCTGCCGCTGGGCCTTTCCACACACAGTTCTCTGGAGCACCACTTTCTCAATTCTACTGAATATAAGCACACATTTTCACATAATCACATTTAGCTTCTCTCTCTGTCATATGATAACTGCTAATATCATTTCCTTGAGGAAGCCTCCTCTGAACCAAAGATGCTGTGTACATTTGTGCAGGTTATACCCTACACAAGATCATCTGGCTGAGGGTAAAATGATGGGTAGAATCTAGTCACACTCCACTCACCAATTCCTATATCCTAACACAGAAGTGCACATCCTAAGACATCTTTTACCTAATTTTCTCAAAAGCATGGTGTGGGCTAGTTGGCAGCTATGCCCAACATTCAGAAACTTGATGAAAGCTCTGTATTTCTTGCTACCATACACCATATATTCTCATTCATAATACCACAACAGCAATTTTACATTTTTTATTTAGATTATGTATTTGATCTCTCTCTCTCCTAGTAGACTGTAAGCTCCCAGGTACTATATCTGACTTGGTCACCATGTTATCCATTGTCTAACATAAACTTTGACATCTGGTAGGTACTCAATAAATAGCTGTGGAATAAATGAAAAATGAATGACTATTGTTATGAGGATAAATTTTTGTTTGTGAAAACAGCATGTAATTGCCTAAAACCTAGCAAATATCCAACAATACATGTTAGTTTGAAAATGAAAATGAATTATCTGACACTCAAATATTAAGTGACTCATTCAGCGCCTCAGCAATATTAAGTGAGTGGTATGAGGAAAAGCCTCTCAGGTAATCATTTCATGTATGGAGAAGCTTGGGAAATTGACTTCTCTCCATATAGAGGGATTTAACACATCTACTTGGAACATGAGGACCCATACGTAACGTTCTTCCCCAGTATTATATTCAAGGCAACATATTGGGAAAAGTGGTCTTCAAAGGTTGCCTGCTTGCCCATTACTTTTCAAAAAATGGTTAGGAAAAACTAGACATTTTGTTGGCACCACTCAGAAAAATTGAACTGACGGCAGAAGTCAATAAGACCTCAGTCACTGTCTCAGATAAAAATCATTAGGATCATCATAGCTTGCATGTATTGAGTACTTTTGGGACAGGCATTATGACAAGTGCCTTACATGCATTATTCATTTCATCTACACAGCAATCCTATGATATATTAAGTTGAGCTACATGAAATTGTCGAGATTTGACCCTTTTTGACCTACAAAAATGACAATTTTATATGTTTTAACCTAATAGATACTGTGACACCACCCCCCCATTTCAAGGATGATGAATTGAGGTTCCAAAAGCTAGGATTAGGGTCTAGAAAGCCTAATTCCAGAATCATGGGCAGAAACTGGAAACTGATTTGTGTCCTGACAATGGACAAAGGTTATTTTAAACTTTATCACTGCTCTCTAATTACTATTTTAGTTCCCCCAATTGTCTTTATGCCAATTCATGGCAAAACTCTATGCAATGAAATAGGCTTGCCTGCTTGTCTCTGTGGGAAGACGATGCCCCATTTCCTATCCAGATCTAGAGAGAGAAGTATTTCCAAGGGCGAAGTGAACAGCACCCATGCTAAAGATGAAAGGGTTGCAAACATTCTCCAAGCCCTACGGGAAGGAAATGGGAGGTTAAAGGGCCCTTGCCTGGGCCTGCATAAAAGTAGAAAGGCCTCAGAACGACTTATGACAAAGACCAAAACCCACATCACCAGCAATCATGCCCTTCCCATAGCATCAGTGACTGGGAACGTTAAGTCCTACTGAAGTCTTTTGCTTGGTCTAAACATTATCACCAGAAACACAGAATTCGCAGGAACCTATGGATCATGTCATTCAGACATTTCTTTGTAAAGATAAGAGTACTATTTAAATAAACATTTACTGAGCACCTACCACAAGCCAGGTGCTGCCACTAGTTATTGGTCACAAAGGCGTGAACCAGAGATACAGCCCCTACCTTCATGGGGTTTACAAATTGAGCAGGAAGACATGAGTCACCCTTCATTGCAGCACGATGAGAGCTAAAAGCTCACCATGCCATTACAAGTATGCTCTGGTATGAGAATTTCCTGAGGAAATTACTCTACGACCTGAAGGATTTTAACAAACTAGGCAAGCAAAGAATGGCTGGCCACTAAAGCAAAGTCATCAGCTCTGTGATGCAGGCAACTTACAAGCCTCCCTTTGCCTCATCAGAAATAAGGATAATGTTATTTAATTCATGGGATTCTGGTGAGTATTAAATGGACCAGTATATGTAAAATACTTAGTATGTAATAACTGCTCAATAAGTAAGTATTCTCTTTCTCCATTTTTTTCTGCTCCAGCACATTTTCTGCTATGTGTCTTTGTCTTTAATCTTAGGAAAATGAGCCCTTCAGGGTCAGTAATTTCAGTCTGCTTTGATATCTGTTTAACTTGTTGCAATGTTGTTCTCAAGGGCTGAACAACATAATCTGAAAATTATGGCCTTCCACATAACTGGGCCAAGAGTTTATGCTGCAGCCAGAGAGTGAGTGCACTCTATTTTCAGCTCAAGCTGTTGTCCATGTTTCCCATGATTAAAACTATGCATCACTAACTTTAGAAAGCAGAGAGACTCAGATTATTGTGGACATGTCCAGTTTTCAATATCCCTCTAATTGTCTAATAGTCAAATAATTAGAGAGGCACAGTTTAGGGGAGTCCTTTTCATCAATAGTGTGTTAATTCAGCTGTATGAATGGTGATCTAGCATCCTTTGGGACCACCAGCTTCCTAAGCCATTTGCATTTACGGTCTGGGGCAATACTTGGTAGTTTCCACCAGAGAGGTAATAAACTTGACCACCTACTATATGCCTCACATTTCTCTGGTGCTCAGCAATATTGCAGGGTGGCAGCTGAGGTCCTAGAGTGAAGTTAAACTAGAATCAGGGCCAAGCTCTAGGGCTGCCCTTTACTGTCTCTGTGAGTTTAAGTAATTACACTTTAAGCACCCATTCACTCATCTGTAAAACTCATAGGTGTTTGGGAGATAACTGATATTCTTTGCTTTGCTCAGTGTCTGGCATATACTATTCTATTCTATACTATACTATATTATACTATATTATAGGTGTTAGTTATTAATAATATTTTTATTATAATCATAGTCATATTATTATAATAGCTTCTGCCCTTCAGGAGCTCTCAGCCATGTAATAATATGGTATGAAATAACTGTTATTAATAATCTTATTATAGTATAATTATCATTAATCTTAATTATTATATAATTTTTATAAATAAGTTATAATAATATTAATGCTATTACCAAGTAGCTATCAGTGAATGTGTTTTCTATGTACCAGTCACTGTTCTGAACTCATAACATAAATTTTCTTATTTAATTCTCCCCAAAGTCTTCTAAGTACTACTATTATCCCCACTTTACAGATCAGGACACAAAGGCTCAGAGAGTTTCCAAAACAGACACATAAGCATATAATTACTATTGATAATGCCATGGTGATGAGTGCAGGATGTTATGAGGGCACCAGAGACACCACGAAAGGGCATGGAACCTATTTTGCGAATAGCAAAGAAGGTATCCCAGAGGCCATGTATCACTGAGTTGAGTTTTAAAGACTCAGAATAATCCAGATCAGAAAGAAGGGCTTCTCAGGCAAGGAAATGCCATGACCATAGGTCTAAAACCTGATATGATTAGAGAATAAGAAATATTACCAGCCAACATGATGAAACCCCATCTCTACTAAAAATGCAAATATTAGCTGGGTGCAGTGGCTCACGCTTGTAGTCCCAGCTACTTAGGAAGCTGAGTCAGGAGAATCTCTTGAACCCAGGAGGTAGAGGGTGCAGTGAGCCAAGATCACACCACTTCACTCCAGCCTAGGCAACAGAGTGAGACTGTCTGAAAAAAAAAAAAAAAAACTATTACCAGAATCTAATGACCTGGAGTGTGAACAATAGTGAAGACAGAGACAGATTTCAGGTGTGTCACAATGGAAGGTGAGCCAGGACCTGATGGTGAACAGCCCGGCTTGGTCTCTGAGAAGCCAGAGAGTACACTGTATGTGTCAGTGACTTTTTGGAGAATTTACTCCAAAAGAGTGACATGCCCAGATTACAGGCTAGGTAGATCTCTGAGGAAGTAAAGACAATGAATAGGAGGCAGAGAAATGAGTTACAAGTCCAGGTAGAAGGTGAGGAAAGCCTCAACTGGGGCAGTGCTTACAGGAATGAGTAGAAGGGAGGGGTTAAAATATACTTAGGAAGTAAAATCATCTAATTGGGTTAGTGATTGATAGAGGATGAAGATAGGATAAAAAGAAGGATCAATGCAGGATGGCTCCACAAACTGGGATGCAGAATAAAGAAAGAAAAGCAGAATGAGCCTGGGGAAGGTTGAGACTGCAAATTCAGTTTAGAAACCATTCAGTTTAAGGTGGCTATGTGACATCCAGGTAGCAGTGGCCAGTTGGCAACTGGTCTAGCAGTCTGAGGCTCAACTCCCAAGTTAAAACTAGAGATAAAGATATTGAGAGAGGGGATATCTGCATATCCATGATGGCTTAAGCCCTTGTACAGGATGGAAGCCCCAAGGAGAATGGAAAGAGTAAGATAAGAGAGTAAAGAATAAAACTCTGGGGAACACTAACATTTAAAAAGTGAACAGAGTAAGAACTTGCAAAGGACATGGAGAAGGACCATCAGAAGGGTAGAAGACAAAAGAGCAGAGTGTGATGTTCTGGAAACCAAGAGAGAACATGGTGCCCAGTGCTGCTCAGTGCAGAGAGTTAAGAAAGACAATAACTGAAATGCAGGCATCTCATGCCCATCTAGAGGTCAGCTATGGCCTGGGCAAAGCAGGTTTCTACTAAAGGGCTGGGCATGGAAGCCAATGAGCTGAGACAAAAATGGGATGAAAGGAAGTGAGGGCACAACCTTCAGCATTGTTAGGGGTTGCTGTAACACCAGAAGCCATATCTCATTATTTCTAGATCTTCTGCTTCTCTTTCAATTTTTCTTACACTGACTTTAGTACTCCTAGGTTCTAGAACCTGCTCTGATCAGGACTTGAGGCCCTAGAATAACAAAGTCACAGTTTTCAAAAGCAAGACCAGCAGTGCTCTAATGTCAAAGTAGTATTGTAGGGCCAGTCACTCAAACTTGTAAAATGAAATCTCACCCTTCCACATTGTCAATAATCAGGGTGATCTAAGAAGACCAAACTCACTACTGCTTCCTATTTCAGGCCACCACCATTTCTCTCTGGATCACAACAAGAGACTCTCTGCACCCTCTACCCCTTACATCTATATGCCACAAGACAGCCAGAACATTCCTACTGAGAAGGAAATCAGATCAGGTCTACCCCTTGCTCAAAGCCATTCAATGTCTTCCCATTTCACCTGGAATAAATTCTAGTCTTTACCACTGTGTAAAAGCCCTAAGTAATCTGGCCCCTGCCTAACTCTTCGAACTCATTTCCTATAATTCTCCCCCTTGCTGCTACTCTTTGGTCACACGGGCCTCCTTGCTGCTCCTCCAACACAGCCAGCACATGTATGCGTCAGAAACTAGACAATTCTTTTGACTAGAATTCTCTTTCTCTAGAAATTTGCATGAATTCCTTCCCAACTTCATTTAGAATTCTGTTTATATTTCATAGACAGATATAGATTAGATAGATAGATAGATAGATAGATAGATGATAGATATATCTATTTCTGCATCTGTCTTTCAATCCATATATATGGTAGATATGTCTATTTCTATATCAATGAAGAATATAAGCTCTCTGGTGGTATAAACTTTGTCTATATCTCTAGCTCTTAGCACAGTTTTGGGCATTTAATGCATAATTGTTGAGTGAATAAGAAAATGAATACCTAAATGCAGCTACAAAAAATCAGTCCCCAAACCTGAAAGAGAAAAGAATGAACCAAACAGAAACTAAGCACAAATATCAATCCTCTGACAGATACGTACCAAATACTTCCAATGTGTCTAGCATCATGTTAGACACAAGGTAGACATACAAGATGTCTGGCCCATGCCCATATTAAGCAGGCAGTTCGGTTGAATAGACATATTACATAATTAGTGAATGAGACAGTTTATAGAAAAGTACTGGCAGTCTTTAAATTAAAACTCTAATTAGTTCATAATTTGTATTGCCTTGCTCTGAGTCACTGGATTTTTCCTACACCCTTCATGGCTCCTATACTCTACCATAAATGGGTCCTTCTCCATGGCTCTCCCTGACAGCACCAACAACTAGACCCCTGGCTCACCACCTTGCTAACTTCCTCAGTGAAGGAGTCTTCGCATCTTGCTACTTAGGAATTTCCCAGGCACTGTCCTCCTCCTTTCTGGCCTAACATCTGCCCCTTTCAAGGCTGACAGAAACTCAGGGATATAACCAAAGGATGCAGACCTGTTGCTAGTGCCACATCTGTCTGATACATGCAAGTAACTGGGACTAGTTAATGACTTAAGCTATCTGTTTCACATTGATTGCAAAGGTTTTTAACACCAATATATTATGAAAATGTGTGCCTGTTATCTGTCCATTAGTCAGAAATTACTTATGTGGTTATTAGCATTATCTCATTGACCCTAATAAGACATGAAAAAGAAAGTGAGAAATATATTGACCCATTTTCCTCTGAATAGAACGATGCAGAAAGAGGTGGATTTCTAAGGATCAAACTATTGGGAAAAGAGGTCAGGTATCCTGAAGCTTGATTCTGTGCACCTCCTCTTTATGGTCACCATTGATTTCTGAATGGGGTCTCAAGGTTTAGTAATGAAGAAAGAAGAGCAGAGTCAATAATTTTGATTTCTTGACAAGGCATTTGCCTCAGTAGTAGATTTTCCTTCAAACAAATCTCTTGGAAGAAAAGTCTCATCAGATTACCCCACTAATTTGGAAAACATATCATACGCATATACATTAACTCAAATATGAAACCAGCAGAAGTAATGATCAGACTACAGTAACAGACTGAAGAATCTTTTCTTTTGTTAGATAAAAAAGTTGATATAGTAATGATTGACCTCATTCACAATAGTCAGCCAACCCTATGCAATGACTCTCATAATACCAAAGAAAATAAATATGATACGATGTTTTGATATCTCCTAAAGCATGAGGTTTAGTCTAGTTTACATATATTCTTTTCTAAGTTCAGAGGAGAGAATAGATTCATTCATTCAACTAACATATATTAAGCACGTGTAAATAAAGAACACTTAAAAGTAAATACAGTGAAAGAGAATGGATATGAAGAAGGTATAATTTTCTTGCACCAGCATTTCTGTGAAGCATTTCTAAGAAGTAGACACAGAAACAAGAAATGACACCAAAATCATCCATGGAAGGAGCAAAATACTATAACATAAGTTAAGCCAATAAGAAGAGATAATATGTAAAATTTTTTAAAAGGCCATCTGTTCATTTTACAATTATTTCCTGAGCATCTACAACATTCCTAATACTGTGAAGCATAAGACAAAGGTACTACTTTGACAGATCTTAAAATTTACCAGAGAAGATAGAATATACACATTAAAGCTAAATAAAAATAAATGCAGTATTATATCATTTGCCAATCGAATGGAAAAGTAGTCTATGTGATTTTCAAGCATTTGGAGAGGAAGTCACTCTGGATTGGTGAAACTGGAGGGAGTTCCTTGGAGGAGGCAGGAATTAATCTGGCATCAGATGAAGCATAAAATTTAAACATGTGAAGAGGAAACTCATTCCAAGCAATGAAAGCAAATGAAAGTAAGTTCACGTAGATGAGAAAGGATATGGTGTGTGTTAGTAACGCTTGCTATGATCACAAAATTGCAATAATCTTAGTGTGAAACAAAATTAAACTTTATTTCTTGTTCATATAGAGTTCAATACAGATGTCCCCAGTTCCCAGTGAGGGAGTCACCTTCTGCCTAGTCATTTAAGGACCTAACTCTTGTTGTGTTGTGGCTCTGTTCTCCTTTGGGTCTTTGACATCTTCTCCCTTTAGTTGGTGGATGGGAAAGACAAAGAGTAAGGATGGATTATACATGGAAAAATGTCATGTGCCAGACCTAGAAGTGATATATCTCACTTTTGCCCACATTCCTTTGACTAAAACTCAGACCTAACACCTACGGCAAGGGAAGCCTCATTGACTGTCTAAGAGACAAGGAAGTAGGCTGTGGTGGACACATAGTAGTCGCTGCCATACAATGTTTGGGGGAAAGAAAGTAGATTTATTTAGCTAGAGTAGAAGATTACAGAGATAGAAGACGAAACAAATGATGGAGAAGTATATGACACAAGACTGCTCTCTAGGAGCTTAGGAAAGAATAATAGACACAAAAAGTTCAAAAACAAACAAAAGACTGTGATGGATTCTCCTGAGAGTGATGCATAAAATAGACGGGAGGGAGATTCATGGTATTAGGAGGTTACTCAGAGTGGCAAGGTTGGGAAAGGTTTCAAGAAAGATGTGAAGAAAAAGCTGAGTCTTTAAGGATAAATTCAGAGAGGTAGACAGTATGTGAGTGGATATCTCAGGTGGGATAGACATAGACAGATGTGTAAAGAAGAGACAGTAAGCAATAATACAAATGAGGAGGAGGACAAAGATGTGAGCTAGGGCAGAGGGATAATTGTAAAGCTGATAGAGTCAGACAAATGGCATTTATCAATGGGTGTTTTCTGGCATTGGAAGCAGGGGGACAATTCTTCATTTGTAGGACTACCAAACGTTGCAGAACTTTTAGCATCCCTAAACCCCACCCATCAAATGCTGGTACTGCTCCCAAGTATTTGTGATTATGAAAATTCCTGCATACTTCCATACCTCCTTCCTGAGGGTAGGGAAGGAGCAATAATGCTTCTATCGAGGGCACTGGCCAACAATTAAGGAAAGATGAGGAAATCTTTGGTTCAGGGTCCTGAATGTGAGGCTAAAGAGGTTAAGGCAGATAAAATAGGAAACAAGAAGTGACTATGGGCTTTAACTGGGGCTTGTGCTGAAAACAATTTTCTAATCACTTACTTCTAGCCTTGATGTCCAAGATGACGGCACCACTAATTCAAAATTATATTTCCGACTTAACTTGAGGCATTAACTCACAAAAGACTTACACCCAAATCAAGTCGATTAATCCAAGTGTCACATATGGGCATTCAAATATTAAAGAATAAATTCCTGAAAACTCAGGACACTTCTAAATTAACACTACTAAATCAGTCTCTTACCTCCTGAGGCTAGAATGGTATGTAGATGGAAGTAACTTCCCCTAATGAAAGAAATCAATCTGGCAAGAGAACCAGAGAAGTTAAAGTAATTTGAAGGTGTCTACATTTCCTGCCCACCCAGCCTTATTTTCTAAATTTTTTTACTATTTAGAGAGCCACTACAGTTGCTTCAGGCATGTCAGGCCCTTCCACACAGCACATCTTCCCTTGATGCCAAAACCACTGGAAATGGTTTTCAATAGGATTGCTGATTTGCCAAACTACACTTTTGTCCTCTTCGCCTTTGCCCCTTGAGTGGCCCTTTAAGCTATTTTAGCTGAAGAGCCTGCTGAGTGAAACAGAGCTAACCCATTGGCCGGGATTGCCTTCTACCCCACAATCACAGAAACTGGCTGGACTCTCATAGCACTGATATGGGACAATCAGAGTTATGTCAGATGCACTTGCAGGCCTGATAGGAAATGTCACTCTGAGATGCCTCAGCTGCAGGACAGAGAGCTCAAAATTGGTGTTTGAAAATAACCATGATGAGACCCAGAGACAGAGCACTTGAAAGGTTGAAGAGACAGAGCACTTGAAAGGTTTGAAGGGACAAAGGACAGATTTACAAAGAACAATCCCAAGGGACTGTCTCTCATAAAGAAAAACAGGCAATAATTTTCCCAAACTAAATGAGTTCTTTTAAAGTTCATGGATAGTTTTTTTTCTGAGGTTTTCTAGATCAAAATATGGAGATGAACAAGCTTTCTCCCTCTTTTGAAAATTCAGATACTCCCCAAGAGGGCTCTGATGTAATTATTGGGACATCAAAGTCAATAACTTCAATCAGATTATTTACCTCCTTCTTTTCCAGGGAAATGCTCTCTGTTGAGGGAATGGGGCTTTTGATTGAGAAAGAGAAGAAATGGATAACTTTGACATAGGTAAAATTCTGAGGTTTAGGGCTTTGGGAGGACCTGCTCTTTAGGAAAATGGGAAAGTAGGAGTTAGGAGCGAGATGGAGAAATGAAGGAGAATGCCCCGTCCATGCATGTCTCTCACTACCTCTGGAAACACAATAAAGGGGATTATTTTTGTTTGAAAGTAAAAGAGAACTACCATTCATTCTGCTTACAAACATTTATGAGATGTTTACTTGGTACCAGGAAGTACCAGCTTTGTGAATATCCAATAATAAGTAAGAGAAGCAATGAACAAAAACCCTCCCACAAACAAAAACCCTCCTGCTCTCATTAGAAAGCAGGAAAAAATGAGGTAATCAAATGGGAAAATTTACAGCTTCTATGGATAGAAGTTTGGGAGGAATGCTAAAGAAGGCTGGGGCTTAGTCAGAAAGAGGGAGCTTATGGGAAGAAAGAAAGGCCTTAGGGGCAAGCCTGGGTGGAGGCAAAGGTGAGGAAGCTAAGATCAGATGGCCATGATGTCCTCAGTAAGGCTGGAGGCATTTGCTGAGAGTAAAGCTTGAGAAGGAAGAGAACAAATAAGCGCTGAAATACAGTAGATGTGTTCTTCATCCTAAGTCTACTGGTTTGCCTGCATTTTATGCACTGGAGGTATGTGTTCTTGTAGCAGTCTTTTCAATGAGCTCATGTGCAAGCATTTGATAAAATGCTCATATAAGCCTGGTATTTTCACCTCCCTGAACCTTCTATGATATTCCAACAACCTGTTAGGTTCTCCTTTTGGGTCTAGCAATCTGTGCACTTTCTGATCTTGCATGAATTCCTCTACGAGTCCCTTTGGAATCAACTACTCTGTCTTTAGTATACACCAACAAATGATAATTAAATACCTGAAACTACACATAAAAGTTAAATAGCAATTTTACTGGAAAATTCAGCCCTAAATGCTCTACTCCTTGTGTTTCTCAAATACTCCAAACGTGCTCCCACCTTGGGGCATTTGCACTTGCTATTTCCTCTGGATAGCCTCCCAGAGAGAAATACAAGGTACTCCTTCATCTTCTCTTCCATTAAGTATTGCTCAAATGTTACTACATCAGCAAGGCCAACCTTGAAACCCCTTCTTAAATTGCAACCTTACAGCATTTGC
Organism: Homo sapiens; assembly: GCF_000001405.40. Taxonomy (NCBI): domain Eukaryota; kingdom Metazoa; phylum Chordata; class Mammalia; order Primates; family Hominidae; genus Homo; species Homo sapiens. The sequence continues at coordinate 177,527,018 of NC_000001.11, forward strand.
ATCCTCCTTGCGCTCCTCTATTTTCTCCCCAGTACTTACCACCTTCAATATACTATGTAATTTACTTTTTAAATTACATATGTCTCTCCATTCCCTGCCAAGTATGAAAGTTTTGTAGGCATGTATTTCTTTTCTTTTCCTGCTATATTCATAACCCAGAACAGTGCCTGATACTAAATAAATTCTTTGTTGAAAGAATGAATGATAGCTATGGCTCATTCTACCTCTGAAAAAGGGAGTCTGACAAAGCCCCTCTTAGTAGCATATCTGGCTTCCAAAATCTTTGGTAATGAGTTCTAGATTACCATGCTTATTACTATATTATAAGCAACATAGCCAATATATATTGAATTTGTTTATTGAGAACTCTCATCAAAGCAACAAAAGGCAGCATATAAAATAAAGAAAAGAGAGAGAAAGAGAGGAAGAGGAAGTAGAAAAAGGAGATGAAAGAGGAGGAAAAGAGGAGAGGAGGAGAAGAAAGAAGAGTGAGGGAAAGAAATAGACAAAGCCAAGGGAGGAGTCAGCTTGTAATGAGAAAAACAGCATGTAATGAAAAACAAAAGAAGACTCGGCATGTGAGAAAGTGGCAAACTGGCTGTCCTTTGCCATTTTCCTGCCCTTCATGCGCCTGAGGACAATGGGATAAATGGGCATGCTCCAGCTGGGCCCCAAGCCTCCATTTGCTAACCTTGTTTGCCACTTTCACTGTGGGAAGGACTGTCTGTGCTCTTGTAGCTGTGCTTTAATTGAACTGGGCAAGATCAGGTAGATTGATTACCCATTTAGCAAAATGCTCACAGGGATTTCCTCAGAAAATTAAATGCACTGTAGACTACATATTGACAGAGACAAAACGCTCCTTTGAAGTGCATGTTAGGATGCTTGAGAGTTGTTTTTATTGGGTCTTGTATTCAAGACCCTGAATTTCAGTGCATGTGTTTTCCTAATCGGAGTAAAGCTTTACAATTATGTCAAGAGATTTTATATACAAACAGTAGCTTTATATTCAACTTAATGCATCCAGTGCACAAAGCACTTTTGCAGCCTCCTTTTCTGGAGATGTTTTAAATTCCGTAGGCCTCATTACCTTCCAACAAAACACAAACTGGAAAGTCTACAGTTGTTTTATTGTATACAACCCTCCCGCTACCACCTTACCCCACCAAAAAAGAAAAAAAAAAAAAAGCTTATTTGAAGTTCTAAAGAGCTTTTATCCCACTTCACATCCGAGGATATTTTAAATTCTGGGGTTGAAGAAGAGTGTTAACATGTTTGCTTAATGCATACTCCAGTTGACACCACCGTTTGACACCATACCGATGCTGGCAATGGTGTATGGCTATCTACTTTACATTGGGGGCTGTGTACAGACTTTATGTAGTGCTAAGAAATGGGCTTTCATATCTCATTGCACAGCTGACTATAACCTTGGATATACTTAACTCTAAAATGGATATTTTATATCCATTTTGTTAGGAATAGCAAAGAGTACAGGAAGTACCTAACATGGTCTTCTCATATTGTTGGGTCTCAACAAGAAATAATTTCATTCTACCTTTCCATACCTGACTTTCTCATTTTTATAATTTTTTTCTCTTATTCAAGGTCATCATAGATACCAGGTTCTATACATTCCTACCTCTTTTCGACCCTAGGCTATCTCACTCAATGTAATAAATGGGACTGGGATGCTGAGGTCAGCACAGGTCTGCAAAAATGCCCTCATCAGACGGTAAGCAACTGATCTACATTCTAGGAGAAGATTGCTTCATCCAAGTAAAAAGAGTCCCTGTTTCGTTTCCATTTTGAAGGGAATGCAGCCTTACAAATGTTTGTAACTTTAGCCAGTAAAAACTGTAAAATATTAACCTGTTGATCGCTACCTAGTTAAAATTTCCCCCACATAAATACCAATGACAATACTTTATATCAATTACTCTTAACTAGAAACTTATAGAAAACTTCACAGGAAGTATCAGGAAAGTGTTCATAATAATTAGAATGAATACCATCTATTTATTACTGTGCACCAGAACACATGTTATCATTTAATTCTTACTTTAAAAATTGAGGTCTCTCTATTCCTAACCTTTACCACTGTAAAGATAAGACACATACTAATAAGGTTATGATAGAAGGAAATAAAAATGAGAATACAGAATAGAAAATTAACAATAGGAAAAAAATGACAAGGCCAAAGTTAGTGTTAGAAAAGACCAGCAAAATTGTCTGGTTTTGACTACATCATAGAAAAAAAAAAAAAAGAGAGATAATACAAATTACCAATATCAGGAACAAAAAGGAGGTTTTCATTAAAGGTTGTACACACATTAAAAAATATAAGTGGGTAATATTATAAACAGCTTTATGCTAACAAATTGTACAGCTTAAATGAAATAAACAAATTTCTCCAAATACACACTTGTTAAACTGACACAAGATAAAACAGAAAATAGGAAGACCCATATACCTGCTGGTAAAGAAATTGAATTTATTATCAAAAACTTTTTCACACAGAAAACTCTAGGCTCAGGTGGTTCTACTGATGAATTCTATCAGACATCTAAGGAGGAAATAAAACCAAATGTACACAACCTCTTTGAGAAAAAAAGAAATCACTTTCCAATTAATTTTTATGAGGCCAGAATAAAACTAATAGCAAAACCTGAATAAAACATTACATAGAGAGAGGGAACAATATCTTTCATGAACAAAGTGTAGACTCACTTAACAAAAATGTTAACTAAACTGCGTCCGGTCATATGTAAATAGGATATTGCATTAAGATATAGTGGTATGTATTCTAAGAATGCAATGTAAGTATAACATTTAAAAATAAATGCGATTCAACACATTAACAAAATGGTTGAGAAAAGCTATTTTATTACATCAATAGATGCACAGAAAACACCTGACTAAATTTCTCTTTTTTGAGTTTCTTTAATTTGTTTTTGGGTACATGCACTTTCAGGTTTGTCTGTTTGTTTTTATTTTTCCCAACTTTATAAAGCTTTAATTGATAAAAATTATATATCTTTATGGTGTACGATATGATATTTTGATATGTGTATACATTATGAAATGGTTAAATCAAGCTAGTTAACATCTCTATCATCTCACATACTTCGTTTTGTGTGATGAGAATATTTAAGATTTACTAATTCCAGAATTTTCAAGAATACAATATATTATTATTACTATAGATACCATGCTGCACAGCATATCTCCAGAACTTATTCATCTTTTCTAAATGAAACTTTGTACCCTTTGGCAAATATCTTCCAATTCTCCCCCAAAACATTTGACAAATTGTAATGGCAATTCATATTTTTAAATCAAATAAAATGAAGAATTGAAGAAAATTCATTAAGATGATCAATGGTTTTGATAAAAATGAAAAATTGTCATCATACTTAATGATGATTAAATACTTTTCCTAAAAGATACAAACAAGGCAAGGATGCCCACTTTCACTGTTCCGATTCAACATTTTACTTAGGTGATGGCCAGGGCAAGTGAAGAAAAATAAATAAATAAAAGGCTCAAAAATTTAAAAAGAAGTAAAGCTGTCTAATTGCAAATTACATGATTGTTGTTGTTGTTTTGAGATAGAGTGTCACTCTGTCACCCAGGCTGGAATGCAGTGGCATGATCTCAACTCAATCTAACCTCCGCCTCCCAGATTCAAGCAATTCTCCTGCCTCAGACACCTGAGTAGCTGGGATTACAGGTGCACACCACCTTGCTCAGCTAATTTTTGTATTTTCAGTAGAGACAAGGTTTTGCCATGTTGGCCAGGCTGGTCTTGAACTCTTGACATAAAGAGATCCATCCACCTCGGCCTTCTGAGGTACTGGGATGACAGGCATGAGCCACTGTGCCCAGAGACATGATTGTTAACACAGAAAATTCTAATAAATTTGCAAAACATTTAATATAACTCATAAGTGCACTTAGCAAAATTGTAGAATATAAAGATAATATACAAAATTAATTGTATTTTACATAGTAATAGCAATTATAAAATTTAATTAAAAACAACTCTACTTCCAATGTCATCAAAAATCACAAAACACTTTAATAAGTTTCACATAATACCTGTAAAATGAAAACTACAAACATTGCAGAAAAATTTAAAATGTAAGAGAAAAGATATACCATGTTCATTGATTATAAAACTAATATTTTTAAGATGTCAATTATTGGCAAACTGATCTCCACAATTCTTCACATAATTTGTGAAGCAAGCTTCACATTATTTGAAAGCAAGTCCAATAGTAATCCCAACAGACTTATTTATAGAAACTGTTAATCTCATCCTAAAGTGTATATGGAAACGCAAGACCTGAAAATCCAAAGCCAATATTGAAAAAAAATTAAGTTACAGAATTTTTACCATACGATTTCAGAATTATAAAGCTTTTGTAACCAAGGAAGGTGTTACTGCCATAAGAGTCAGTAAAGTGATGATTGCATCATGGGGCAGAATATAAATCAGAAATATACCCACACTTACATGGTCATTTAATTTTTGGTAAAAATCAAAGTAACCTAATATGGTAAGGAATCTCTACTTAACAAATGATGAAACACTAGATATGAACATATGAAAAAACTTTGACCCTGACCTCACACAATACATAAACATTAATTTATAATAACTCCTAGTCCCAAAAGTGAAAACTAAAACTAATAAGACAATATCATTGTAACTTGGGAGTAAGAAAAACCTTCTTAGACTGGACACAGAAATCAATAACCATAAAAAGAGAAAAAAATGACAAATTAGGCTTCATCAAAATTGAAAATTTCCACTCATTCAGAAAACATTAAGAAAATAAAATAGGCAAGCCATGAGGTGGAAGAAAATATTGGTAAAACTGGTATTTGACAGACTGATATCTAGTTAATATAAAAAATTCCTACAACTCATTAATAAAAAGAGAACTCTTGCTTCTGCCTGCTAAGCTCAAGCACACCTTCACTGTTCCATATCCTATGTTTAATGAGGCCCACATGGCTCTGCCATATCTTCTGTTGTCTTGTTACTTACAGGTACTGGGAGATCTACAGGGAGGGCTCTGGGACATTCTAGAATCCAGGAAACACATTTAAAACCAAAGATAGTGAATGCCTGCATGGAGACTGGCACCCTTGCACCTGTCAGTCCCCCATTTCAGTCAATAAGCATGTGCTGTGCTGCTGCTGCTGCTGCTGCTGCTGCTGCTAGAACATGGAAATGTCCATGAATTCTGCTGCCACCACCTGATGAAGTGCCTTGGCTGGCACCACCCATCATAGTGTTGTTACCAGAGGTCTGCAAACACCTTGGCCACTCCAGCACAGCAGGTTTCTAACCTCAAGTGTCCAGAAAACAAAGCTGGCAGGCCCTCAGAATCAGAGCACAAAGCATAGGAGTCCTGAACTGATATTTGTCCCCCTAATCGTCAGCCAGTTGACTGAACTCATCTTAGACCAAAACCAAAGCCCCTAAAACATCTAAGAGGATAAAAGGAGGGGGTGGAAAGCCTATTCAAATGACACCAACTTCAAAGACCAAAGTAACATCAGCCCACGAAGATGAGAAAGAATCAGCACAATAACTCTGGCAACTCAAAAAACCAGAGTGTCTTCTTACCTCCAAACAACCACACTAGTTCCCCAGCAATGATTCTTAACCAGGCTGAAATAGCTGAAATGATAGAAAAAGAATTCAGAATATGAATAGGAATGAAGATTGTACAAATCTGTTCTCAAACTGCTATAAGGAAATACCTGAAACTGGGTAAATTATAAAGAAAAGAAGTTTAATTAGCTCATGGTTCCACAGGCTGTACAGGCTTCGCTTCTGGGGAGGCCTCAGAAAAATTATAATCATGATAGAAGGTAAAGGTGAAGCTGGCACATCTTACATGGCTGAAGCAGGAAGAAGAGAATAAAGGGGAAGGGTCTATACACTTTTAAACACCCAGATCTTGTGAGAACTCTCTCACTATCACATGAACAGCAAAGGGGAAGTCTGCCCCCAGGATCCAATCACATCCCACTAGGCCCCACCTCCAACATTACAGATTACAATTTGACATGAGATTTAGGCAGGGACACAAATCCAATCCATATCATTCTTCCCCAGCTTCTCCCAAATCTCATGTCTTTCTCACATTGAAAAATACAATTGCCTCTTCTCAACAGTCCCCCAAAGTCTTAACTCATTTCAGCATTAACTCAAAAGTCCACAGTCCAAAATCTAATCTGACACAAGGCAAGTCCTTTCTGCCTATAAACCTGTAAAATCAAAAACAACTTAGTAACTTCCAAGATACAATGCAAGTACAGTCACTGAATAAATATGCCTGTCCCAAAAGGGAGAAATCGACCAAAACAAAGCAGCTACAGGCCCCAAGCAAGCTCAAAACCCAGCAAGGCAGTCATTAGATCTTAAAGCTTGAAAATAATGTCCTTTGACTTCAAGTCTCACCTCCAGGCCACACTGATACAAGGGATGGGCTCCCAAGGCCTGGGCAACTCTGCCCCTGCAGCTTCTCTCAAGGGTTGACATTGAGTGCCTATGGCTTTTCAAGGCACATGGTGCAAGCTGTCAGTGGATTTACCATTCTGAGGTCTGGAGGATGGTGGCCCTCTTCTCACAGTTCCACTAGGCAGTGTCCCAGTGGGGACTCTGGGTGGGGTCTCTAACCCCACATTTCCCCCTCCACACTGCCTTAGTAGAGGTACTCCATGAGGCCGTCCTTGTAGCAGACTTCTGCCTGAACATCTAGGCATTTCCATACATCCTCTGAAATCTAGAGGGAGGCTCCCAAGCCTCAGTTCTTGCCCTCTGTGCACCCATAGGCTGAATGCCACAGGCAGTGTCCTGAGACATAGCTGGGGCCTTTTTAGCCATGCTGGAGCTGGAATGGCTGGGATGCAAGAATCAGTGTCCCAAGGTTGCACAGGGGAGCAGGGCCCTAGGCTGGGTCCATGAAACCATTCTTTCCTCCTAGGCCTCTGAGCCTGTGATTGGAGGGGCTGCCATGAAGGTGTCTGAAATGCCTTCAAGGCATTTTCCCTATTGTTGTGACTATTAACATTCCACTCCTCTTTACATGCCTCCCCATAAAATGAGATTTTATTTTCTACCACATGGTCAGGATGCAAATTTTCCAAAATTTTATGCTCTGCTCCCCTTTGAATTTCCAGTTGCAGATCATCTATTTGCTCATGCATAGGAGCATATGCTGTTAGAAGCAGCCAGGCTATTTTTTGAAGGTTTTGCTGTTTAGAAATTTCTTCCACCAGATACCTACATCATCTCTCTCAAGTTCAAAGTTCCAGAGATCCCCGGAGCGGGGCACAATGCCACCAGTCTCTTTGCTAGAGCATAGAAGGACTGACCTTTACTTTAGTTCCCAATAAGTTCCTCATCTCCATATGAGACCACCTGAGCATGGACTTCATTGTCCATATCACTATCAGGATTTTGGTCAGAACAATTTCACAAGTCTCTAGGAAGTTTCAAACTTCCCCTCATCTTCCTGTCTTCTTCTGAGCCCTGCAAACTCTTCCAACCTCTGCCTATTACCCAGTTCCAAATCTGCCTCCACATTTTCAGGTATCTTTATAGCAATGCCCCACTTCCCAGTACTAATTTGCTGTATTAGTCTGTTCTCACACTGTTATAAAGAAATACCAGAAACTGGGTAATTTATAAAGAAAAGAAGTTTAATTAGCTCATGGTTCTGCAGAATGTACAGGCTTCTGCTTCTGGGGAGACCTCAGGAAACTAAAATCATGGTGGAAAGTGAGAAGCTGGCACATCTTTAATGGCCAGAACAGAAAGAAGAGCGTGAAGGGGGAGGTGCTACACACTTTTAAACAAGCAGATCTCATGAGAACTCACTCACTCTAACAAGAACAGCAAGGGGGAGGCCCGCCTCCATGATCCAATCACATCCCATCAGGCCCTGTCTCCATCACTGGAGATTACAATTTGACATGCAATTTGGGCGGAAACACAAATCCAAACCATATCAAAGATCACTGAGATTCAATAGAAAGTCAAAATCATATCCAAGGATTCTAAGAAATATAATAAAATAATACAGGAGATGGAAGATGAAAAGGCCATTTTAAGAAAGAACCAGGCCAGGAATGGTGGCTCACGCCTGTAATCTCAGCACTTTGGGAGGCTGAGGTGGGCAGATCACTTGAGGTCAGGAGTTTGAGACAAGCCTGGCCAACACTGCAAAACCCCATTTCCACTAAAAATACTAAAAATTAGCCAGGCATGATGGCATGTGCCTGTAATCCCAGCTACTTGGGAGGCTGAGGCAGGAAAAGTACTTGAACCCAAGACACAGAGGTTGCAGTGAACCAAGATCATGCCACTGTACTCCAGCCTGGGTGACAGAGTGAGACCCTGTCTCAAAAAAAACAAAAAAGAAAAAAAAAAGAACCAAACTGATCTGATAGATAAGGAAATGGAAAGCTCACATCAAGAATTTCAGAATACAATCCCAAGTATTAACAGTAGAATAGACCAAGCCGAGAAAAGACTCTCAGAGTGTGGACAAAAATAAATACATGAAGAATGAACAAAATCTCTGAGAAATATGGGATTATGTGAAGAGACCAAATCTATGACTCACTAGCATCCCTGAAAGAGAGGGAGAGAAAGCAAGTAACTCGGAAAATATATTTCAGGATATCGTCCATGAAAATTTCCCCAACCTTGCTAGAGAGGCCAACATTCAAAGGAAATGCAGAGAACCCCTGTGAAATACTACACAAGAGTACCATCCTCAAGACAAATAGTCATCAGATTCTCCAAGGTCAAAAAGAAAAAAAAATAATGTTAAAGGCAGCTAGAGAGAAGAGGCAGGTCATCTACAAAGAGAACCCCATTAGGCTAACAGCAGATCTTTTGGCAGATCCTACAATCCAGAAGAGATGGGGGCTCATATTCAGCATCCTTAAAGAAAATAATTTCCAGTCAATAGTTTCATATTCAGCCCAACTAAGCTTCATAAACAAAGGAGAAATAAGATCCTTTTCAGACAAGCAAATGCTAGGGGAATTTGTTACCATCAGACCTACCCTACCTCACAAGAGATCTTGAAGGCAGTGTTAACACGGAAAGGAAACATCACTACCAGCTACAACAAAAACACACTTGACTACATAAACCAGCGACACTGTAAAGCAATCACAGAAACAAATCTGCAAATAAAAATCTAAAAACATGATGACAAGATCAAATCCACACATATCAACACTAACCTTGAATGTAAATGGACTAAATAACCCAATTAAAAGGCACAGACTGGCAAGTTGAATAAAGAAGCAGACCCAATGGTATGCTGTCTACCAGAGATCCATCTTATATGCAGTGACACATACAGTCTCCAAGTAAAGGGATGGAGAAAAATCCACCAAGCAAAAGGAAAACAGAAAAAAAAAGCAGAGGTTACTATTCTAATTTCAGACGAAACAGACTGTAAACCAACAGAGATTAAAAAAAAAAAAAGACAAAGAAGGACATTACATAATGGTAAAGGGCTCAATTCAACAAGAAGACCTAACTATCCTTAGTATACATGCACCCAACACAGGAGCACCCATATTCATAAAGCAAGTTCTTAGATACCTATGAAGAAATTTAGATAACCATACAATAATAGTGGGAGACTTGAACACCCCATTGACAATATTAGACAGACCATCGAGGCAGAAAACTAGCAGAATTATTTGGGACCTGAACTCAACACTTGACCAAGTGGACCTAATAGACATCTACAGAATTCTCCACACAAAATACTTTCTTCTCATCTGCACATGGCACGTACTTTAAAATCAACCACACAATTGGGCATAAAACAATCCTCAGCAAATTCATAAAAAACAAAATCATACTAAGGCCGGGCGCGGTGGCTCACACCTGTAATCCCAGCACTTTGGGAAGCCAAGGCGGGCAGATCACAAGGTCAAGAGATCAAGACCATCCCGGCTAACACAGTGAAACCTCATCTCTACTAAAAATACAAAAAATTAGCTGGGCATGGTGGCAGGCGCCTGTAGTCCCAGCCACTCGGGAGGCTGAGGCAGGAGAATGGCGTTAACCCAGGAGGTGGAGTTTGCAGTGAGCTGAGATCGTGCCACTGCACTCCAGCCTGGGCGACAGAGCGAGACTCCATCTCAAAAAATAAAAATAAAAATAAAAACAAAATCATACCAACTACACTCTCAGACAACAGCACAACAAAAACAGAAATCAATGCTAAGAAAATTGCTGAAAACCATAAAATTACATGGAAATTAAAAAACCTGCTCTTGAATGACTATTGGGTTAATAATGAAATTAAGGCAGAAATTGAGAAATTCTATGAAACTAATGAGAACGAAGATACCATACAGAATCTCTGGGACACAACTAAAGCATTTCATTATAAAGAGAAAGTTTATAACACTAAATGTCCACATAAAAAAGTTAGAAAGATCTCAAATTAAGAACTTAACAACTAGAGGAACTAGAGAAACAAGAGCAAACCAACCCCAAAGCTAGCAGAAGACAAGAAATAACAAAAATCAGAACTGAACTTAAGGAAATTGAAACACAACAAACCATACAAAAGATCAGTGAATCCAGGCACTGGTTCTTTACAAGAATTAATGACTGATAGACTGCTAGCTAGACTAATTAAAAAAAAGGGAGAGAATATCCAAATAAACACCATCAGAAATGACAAAAGGGATATTACAATTGACCCCACAGAAATACAACAACCCTCAGAATCTAACATGTCTATGTATACAAGCTAGACAATCTAGGAAAAAAATGAGAAATTTCTGGAAACAAACAACCTCCCAAGATTGAACCATGAAGAAATTGAATGCATGAACAGATCAATGAGTTCCAAAATTGAATCTGTAATAAAAAGCCTACCAATCGGAAAAAGCCCAGGACCAGAAGGATTGACAGCCAAATTCTACCAGATGTATAAGGAAGAGCTTGTACCATTCCTGCTGAAACTATTCCAAAAAACTGAAGAGAATGGACTTCTCCCTAACTCATTCTTTGAGGCCAGAATCATACTGATAATAAAATCTGGTAGAGAAACAACAACAAAAAGAAAACTTCAGGCCGATATCCTTGATGAAAATAGGTGAAAAAATCCTCAACAAAATACTAGCAAACCAAATTCAGCAGCACATTAGAAAGCTTATCCAATGTGATCAAGTAGGCTTTATCTGTGGGATAAAAGGTAGGTTTGATATATGCAAATTAATAAATGTGATTTACCACATAAACAGATCTAAAAAAAGAAACATAATCTTCCCAGTAGATGCAGGAAAGGTTTCAATAAAATTCAGCATCTCTTCATGTTAAAAACCCTCAACAAACCAGGCATTGAAGGAACATACTTCAAAATAATAAGAGCCATCCATGAAAAACACACAGCCAACATCATATTGAATGGGCAAAAGCTGGAAGCATTCCCCTTGAAAATTAGAACAAGATAAAGATTCCCACTCCCACCTCCCCTATTCAACACAGTACTAGACGTCCTAGCTAGAACTATCAGGCAAGGAAAGGAAATAAAAGGCATCCAAATAGGAAGAGAGGAAATAACAGTATCCCTTTTGGTAGAAGATATGATTCTACACCTAGAAATCCCCATAATCTCTGCCTGAAAGCTCCTTAATCTGATAAACAACTTCAGCAAAGTTTCAGTATACAAAATGAATGTGCATGCAAAAACCACTAGCATTCCTATACACCAGCGACATCCAAGCTAAGAGCTAAGTCAATAATGCAATGCCATTCACAATAGTTACAGAAAGAATAAAATGCCTAGAAATAAAGCTTTAAAAGGAGGCAAAAGACCTCTGTAATGAGAATTTAAAAACACAGATCCAAGAAATCAGAGAGGACATAAACAAATGGAAAAACATGCCATGCTCATGGATAGGAAGAATAAATATTGTTAAAATGGCCATGCTGCCAAGCAATTTGCAGATCCAATGCTATTCCTATCAAACTACCAATGACATTCTTTACAGAATTAGAAAAACCTATTTTAAAATTCATATGAAACCAAGAAATAACCTGAATAGCCAAGGCAATCCTAAGCAAAAAGAATAAAGTTAGAGGCATCACATTACCTGACTTCAAACCATACAAGGTTACAGTAACCAAAACAGAATGGTGTGGTACAAAAATGGAACCGCAGACCAATGGAACAAAATAGCACAGAAATAAGGCTGCACATCTACAAGCATCTGATCTTTGACAAAACTGACAAAAATGAGAAACGGGGAAAGGACTTATTATTCAATAAACAGTACTGGGAATTGGACCCCTTCCTTATACCATATAAAAAATCAACTCAAGGTGGATTAAAGACTTAAAGGGAGAATCTAAAACCATCCAAATCCTGAAAGATAATCTACAAAATACCATTCTCAATACAGGACCTGGCAAAGATTTTATTACAAACACACTAAAAGAAATGGCAACAAAACCAAAAATTGACAAATGGGATCTGATAAAACTAAAGAACTTCTGCACAGCAAAAGAAATTATCAACAGAATGAACAGACAACCTACAGAATGGGAGAAAATTTTTGCAAACTATGCATCTGACAGAGATCTAATATCCAGAATCTATAAGGAACTTAAATTTGCAAAACAAAAATCCAACAACCTCACTAAAAAGTGGGCAAAGGACATGAACAGGAAATTTTCCAAAGAAGACATACACTTGGCCAACAAGTATATGAGAAAATGCTCAAAATCACTAATAATTAGAGAAATGCATATCAAAACCACAGTGAGATACCATTTCAAATGAATCAGAATGGCTACTATTAAAAAGTCAAAAAATAACAGATGTTGGCGAGGTTATAGAGAAAAGGGAACACTTACACATTGCTGGTGAAAGTGTAAGTTAGTTCAGCCATTGTGGAAAGCAATATGGTGATTTCTCAAAGAACTTAAAAAGGGATTATCATTTGTTGAAGCAATCCCATTATTGGGTATATACCCAAGGGGATATAAATTGTTCTATCATAAAGACACATGCACACATATGTTCATCACAGCACTATTCACAAGAGGAAAGATATGGAATCAACCTAAATGCCTATCAATGGTAGAAAATGTGGTACATATACACCATGAAATAGTATGCAGCCATAAAATAGAATGAGATCATATCCTATACAGCAACATGGATGGAGCTGGAAGCCATTATCCTAAGTGAACTAACACAGGAACAGAACATCAAATACCACATGTTCTCACTTATAAGTGGGAACTAAACTTTGAGTACATATGGACACAAAGAAGGGAATAACAGACACCAGGGCCTACTTGAGAGTGCAGGATGGGAGGAGGTGAAGATTGAAAAATTACCTATTGGATACTATGCTGATTATGTGGGTGATGAAATAAGCTGTACATCAAACCCCCATGACATGCAATTTGCCTATATACCAAACCTGCACATGTACCCCTGAACCTAAAATAAAAGTTTAAAAACAGTAATAATAGTATTGGAAGTCCTGACCAGCAATGAGCAGACAAGAGAAAGAAATAAAGGGTATTCAAATAGGAAGAGAGGAAGTCAAACTATCTTTGTTTGCAAGTGACATGATTCTATACCTAGAAAACCTCAGTCTCAGCCTAAAAGCTCTTCCAGCTGATAAACAACCTCAGCAAAATCTCAGGATACATAATAAATGTGCAAAAATCACAAGCATTCCTATATACCACCAACAGTCAAGCCAAGAGCCAAATCAGAAATGCAGTCCCATTCATAATTGCCACAAAAAGAATAAATTATCTAGGAATACAGCCAACAAGGGAGGGGAAAGATCTCTACAGATCTTTCACAAAACACTGCTCAAAGAAATCACAGATTACACAAACAAATGGAAAAACATTCCATGCTAATGGATAGAAAGAATCAATATTGTAAAAATGGCCTTACTGCCCAAAGCAATTTACAGATTCAATGCTATGCCTATTAAACAACCATCATGATTATTCACAGAACTAGCAAACTATTTTTAAATTCTATGGAACCAAAAAAAGAGACTGAATAGCCAAGGCAATCCTAAGCAAAAAGCACAAAGCTTGGAGCATCACACTACTCAACTTCAAACTATGCTACGGGGCTACAGTAAACAAAACAGCATGGCTACTACAGGCTACAGTAAACAAAACCAAGAACAAACACATAAACCAATGGAATGGAATAGAGAATCCAGAAATAAGGCTGCACACCTATGACTATCTGATCTTTGACAAACTTGACAAAAACAAGCAATGAGGTAACTATTCCCTGTTCAATAACGGGCTGGAATAACCGGCTAGCCACATGCAGAAGGCTGGAACTGAACCCCTTTGTTATACTATATACAAAAATTAACTCAAGATGAATTAAAGACTTAAATGTAAAAGCCAAAACTATAAAAATCCTTGAGGACAACCTAGGCACTACCATTCTGGACATAGGAACAGGAAAAGATTTCATGATGAAGATGCCAAAAGCAACTGCAACAAAACCAAAAATTGACAAATGGGATCTAATTAAACTGAAGAACTTCTGCACAGCAAAGGAAACTACCAGCAGAGTGAACAGACAACCTACAGAATGGGAGAAAATTTTTGAAAACTATGCATCTGACAAAGGTCTAATATCTAGCATCTATAAGGAACTTAAATTTTATAAGAAAAAAACAAGCAACCCCATTAAAAAGTGGGCAAAGGACAAAATCAGATACTTTTACATGTAGCCAACAATCATATGGGAAAAAAGCTTACCATTACTAATCATTAGAGAAATGCAAATCAAAACCTCAATGAGCTACCATCTCACACCAGTCAGATTGGCAGTTATTAAAAAGTCAAAAAAAATAACAGATGCTGGCAAGATGGTAGAGAAAGGGGGACTTTCATACATTGCTGGTGGGCATATAAATTACTTCAGCCATTGTAGAAGACTGTGGCAATTCCTCAAAGACCTAAAAACAGAAATACCATTTGATCTAGCAATCCCATTATTGGATATATAACCAAAGGAATATAAATTATTCTATTATAAAGACACATGCGTGCATATGTTCATTGCAGCATTATTCACAATAGCAAAGAAATGGAATCACCCTAAATGTCCATCAATGATACTGGATAAAGAAAATGTGGTAGATATACACCACGGAATACTATGCAGCCATAAAAAAGAACAAGATCATGTTCTTTGCAGGGACATGGATGGAGCTGGAGGCCATTATCCTTAGCAAACAAACAGAGGAATAGAAAACAAAATACCACATGTTTTCTCTTATAAGTGGGAGCTAAATGATAAGAACACATGGACACACAAAGGGGCCTATTGCAGGGTGGAGACTGGGAAGAGGGACAGGATTGGGAAAAATAATTAATGGGTACTAGGCTTAATACCTGAGTGATGAAATAATCTGTACAACAAACCCCATGACACAAGTTTACCTGTATAACAAACATGCACATGTACCCCTGAACTTAAAAGTTAAAACAAACAAGAAAAAAGAGTAATATATTTAAAAATTAAAAAATAACACAAATTTATTAAAAAGAAAACTCTCAAATAAGAAATAAGTAGATTTTAACTGACACATCACAAAGGAGGATGTACAAATGCCCAATAAATACATGATAAAGAGTTCAGTCTCTTTAGGCCTCAAGAAAATGCAGTTGTAAGCACCATGAAATAAAATCATATACCACTAAAACTGTTAAATAAAGACAGACAACACCCAATATTGGCAACTCAGAACTCTTATACATTGTAGAGGGAATATTAAACAGTTCAACCAAAAGATCAAGCCATTTGTGATAAAAGTAAACATACATCTATCTTATGACCCAGAAATACCACTTCTGGAACTTATCCAAGATAATAAAACAAAGTTTATAGTAGTTTTGTTCATAAAACTTCATTTTTCTTTTCCTTATGTTCACCAATGCTTAATTTTTGTTCAACATATAAATTGAATACAACTCTTGTCAGCTGCCCAACTGTCTCATCCCTAGAAATATCCTGCTCTACTAGCAATCGTCGGGCAGAAAATGGAAGAAATACACAGATTTATGGAGCCTTTGTGAAGAGCCTCTGTGAGTCTGATTGGATTGGACCTCAGTGCTGGAGTTGCTGTGACTCCCACCATGTTGGAGGATGGGCTAAAGCTCAACTCTAATTTCAGGAGTGCTAAAACAGCTGAGGTTATTAGGAGATGAGTAACCAGAGGTATATCCAGTACTCTCTATTGACCAAACAGTTGAGGGCTAGTGCACGTAGGCACTATGCACATAAAACTGTATTTCCAAACATTGTATGTGCCCAGCTGTTAGTGCTTTGGTAGCTGAGGTGGAAACTTCATCATTCACTTTATAGACTTTCACTTAATACCCATATGCTCTGTACAAATCTCATACCCAACCTCAGCTACACTTTGTATTCCTGAGTTCTGACTTTCTCTATTACAATCTTTTCAAAGAATAACTTCCTAGTCCTCTGCTAGGGAGTTGAGGGGAGCATTGTCTTGTCAGCTGTAGAAAAGAGCTGGAGTTCTAAGTGTTACTTACAGTGACTTTCCAAAATTCTGGTTTCAGCCTGCACCATGCTCAGTCTTCAGATGTATCTGATGCCTCCAATTCCAAAGACTTTCAGAGTCACTCTTCTATGAACAACATTCTTGTTTTTTATTTACTCCAGTTGCATTACTTACACTTTGCCTTCCTCATATACACTAAATTAGTTAACACTTATTTCATCTTATTTATTATTTCTCTTCATTAACCATCTTCTATCCAATTCCTTATTTGCTGTGCATTTATCATTTTTAAATTTACTTATTCTGATTTTAGTATCTTTCAGAAATATTACATTGATCATTTTTAACTGAATATTCACTTCTCTATAATTCTTGACCTTTCTTTCAGATTTTCCAAACTTTTCTTTTTTTTTTTTCTTGAGACAGAGTCTTGCTCTGTAGCCCAGACTGGAGTGCAATGGCGTGATCTGGGCTCACTGCAACCTCCACCTCCCAGGTTCAAGCAATTCTCATGCCTCAGCCTCCTGAGGATTACAAGGCATGAGCCACAATGCCTGGCCAGATTTTCAAAATTTTTCTATCCCACTGAATGTCCATTTGCTTTTTTGCATTTCACTAGTTGTCTGTTCAACTAGGCAGGATCTTTTTATTTATCAAAGTATTAGGTTGTATCTTATGCAATTATTTTTTATTTGTAAGCTTTAACTAATTCCTTTTTTAAACTGGTCTTTTTCTTTCATAGAGTCTTGTTCTATGCTTTATTTTTTGCATTAATTTAATCATTTTAGATGTATCTCTCAAATTGTTCAGTAACTCAAAATTGTTAATAATCAAATTCTGTGACGTTTGCTGTATCTGCTGATGCTTCATATGGTAGATTATTTCCTCATGTATCACATAAATTTTTATTTAATCTTCAGTAGACCTCTATATGTGAAAATACAGTATACCCAAGGTTGAGAATTTATTCCTCAAGAATGATTTTATATTTGATTCTATCAGTAATCCTCAGAATATCACCAGCATGAGACTGAATTTTGTGTTAATTTCTTAATTTGATATCTCTCAGGACAAGAACCTAACGTAAATTCAAAACTTTACCCCTGTGATTTTAAGGCCTATGCTTACAATATATCGAGAGACTCTTTTTCACCCAAAAGCCAGGCAGACACTTAAAGATGTCTTTGTCATCTTCTGATGCTCCTGAGAAGATTGTTTTTATACAGTATAATTTCACTGAGGTTATAGCATTTTTAAGGGTTCCTACTTTATATGTGCGTGTGTGTGTTGGAAGAAGATATTAATCCCAGCTATGTGACTCTTGTAAGTCCAAAACTTCATCTCTCATACTTGAATGAATATTAAAAATAAAGACCTAATCTTTCACTTTAGGACAGGTTCAAATAACTAAAACTGGACTTACCATTTCATCCTATATAACTATAAAACTGGACAAAACATATGAGGGAATTATAGGCATGAAAAACAGAGCAAAATAGTGAGCCTTGAGAGAAGGAAAACATTCGAGTTGAATATTTGTTCACAACAGCTCTGTTTTACTATGGTGCAGAGAGGTAGAGTCAAAGCATAATAAAGGTCTTACTGCTTAGAAGGCAGAGATTTATGGTAGCTGAGCTAGCTGAAATTTGTGGGACAGGATATAAAAGAGGAACAAACTACACAGATGTTAGGGCCTCAAGATCTGAAAGATGGCTCTCCTTCAGTTTATACACAAGGGCTGGACTGAACTTGCTCAAGGTGAAATTCCATGAGGCCTATTACAGAGCAGCTGTTACAGAGGGAAAAAACTGCATGGTGACACCAGAAGTCATCGAGCACTGGGAAATACTGGAGTTCCAACCCACCCAGAGTAAAGAGACATTACTGAGCACCTCTATATTCATTGATGACTTCAAAAAGTCAACAGTTTAGATATAAGGACCAAGACCCAGAACAGAGATCACAAACATTTTCTGTAACTACTCAGATAGTTATTTTAGGGATTGCAAGCCACAAATAGTCTCCTCTATCCCTCTTTTTCCTCCTCTTCTTTATTCCTCTTCCTCTTCTTCAATTTTTTAAAAAAGTAACAAAAAAATTATACATTTTGGGCCATACAAAAACAGTTTGCAGGCCAGATTAGGCCCATAAACCATAGTCTGTGGATACTTAATCTAGATTACAATCAGCCAAACGAGTCTATAATGACTGGAAGAGACATTTGCTCTATCAAATGCACACACCAATACAAGACTATGTGGAAAATAAAGAATCATGATACCATCACAAGAAAGTTCCAGTAATTAACCATAGAAAATGAAGTTCTATGAGTTGCCTGAAAAAGAGTTAGAGGAATCACATTGGGGATTTCAATGAGATACAAGAGAACACAGACAGAACACTAAATGAAATCAGAAAAACAATGTATGAACAAAATGAGATTAATAAAAATAGAAACTAAACCATTAAAAAAGAACAAAACAAATTCTGGAGATAAAAATACAACGACAGGAGAGAAAAACTGGAAAAAGAGTTTCAACAGCAGGCTCAATCATGTAAAAGAAAGAATTAATGAACTTCAAGACAGATAATTAAAATTATTCATTTGGAGGGATAAGAGAAAAAAGAATGAAAAAGTGAAGAAAGCATACAAGACTTATATGACAACATCAAGTGAACAAATATATGAGTTATAGAAATTCTAGAAGAAAAAGGAATATAGAAAAGGGCAGAAGGCTTATTTTTTAAAATAATGACTAAAAACATATCAAATCTTGGCTGGGATATAGACATTCACATATATGAAACTCAAAGAATCCCAAGAAAGATCAAACCAAAGAAGATTACACCAAAGCATACAATAATCTAATTGTCAAAAGTCAAAGACAAAGAGAGAATTTTTAAAGCATCAAGGAAAAAGTGACTCATCATATTACAAGGCAATTCCTATTAGGCTATCAGTAGATTTCTCAACAGAAGCTTTGCAGGCCAGAAAGGAGTGGGAAAATATACCCAAAGTGCTGGGGGAAAAAAAAAAAAAGCTTACACCCAAGAATACTATAACCAATAAAAAGCTGTCCTTCAGAAATGAAGACATTCCCAGACCACCCCTCACCCCCCAAAAATGCTGAAGGAGTTCATCTGCACTAGACCTAACTTACAAGAAATGCTAAAGAAAGTTCTCCAAGTT
The DNA here is from genome assembly GCF_000001405.40 of Homo sapiens. NCBI lineage: Eukaryota > Metazoa > Chordata > Mammalia > Primates > Hominidae > Homo > Homo sapiens. Next base: position 177,546,810 of record NC_000001.11, read on the forward strand.
ATAACAAATGGAATCTGCTATGAACTGAATATTTGTATCCCCATCTTCCCTCACAAAATCCATATGTATAAAGCTAATCCTTAATATAAGTGTATTAAAAGATATTGACCCCCAATGTGATAGTGTTAAGAGGAAGTGATTAAGTCATAAGGGAAAACCCCTCATAAATAAGATCTGTGCCCTCATAAAAAGAAGCCTGAAGAAGGTTTTTTGTTCCTTCAGCCATGTGAAGACAAAGCTAGAGGCATCGTCTATGAAGCAGATAGTAGGCATTCACTAAACACCAAATCTGCCAGTGATTCCCTGGCTTCAGAACTGTTAGGAAAACACTTTTCTTGTTTATAAGCTAAGCATTTTAAGGTATTTTATAATAGCAGCCTGAAATGGCTAAGACATATGCTAGGTAACAACATAAAAACATATAAAAGTATAAAACTCACTTGTAAAATGAAATACATGCTCAAATTGTAAATGCCCTAATATTGTAATTATGACACGTAAATCATGTTTAATTCTAATATAAAAGCTAAAAGAAAAAATATTACAAATAACAATAACCAATAATTTGTTAATGATTACACAATACATAATAAAAATATGTAAACTATGACATCAGTAACATACAACGTGGAGTGGGGAAAATAAAAATTTAGATTTTAAATACAACTAAAGTTAAGTTGTTATCAGCTTAAAATAGACTTATATTTTTGGTAAGCCTTGTGATAATCACAAAATAAACCGCTAGTAGAGACACAAAAGAGAAATAAATCAAAGCATAACATTGCCAAAAATTAACAAATGGCAAAGGAACAAGGCAAGAGTGGAAGAAAGGAACAAAAGAACTACAAAACAGTCAAAAAATAATTAACAAAATGGCATTGCCTATCAATACTTACCTATCAATAATTACTTTAAATGTTAAGGGATTAAATTCTTCAATCAAAAGACAGAGTGACTGAGTAAAAACAAGATCGAACTATCTGCTCCTACGAGATACTCACTTTACCTTTAAGGACACACATAGACTAAAAGTGAAGGGATGGACAAAGTTATTTCATGGAAATGGTAATCAAAAATGAACAGAGGTAAGCATAGTTACATCAGACAAAATAGATTTCCAGTCAAAATCTGTCACAAAAGGCAAAAAAAAAGTTACTTTATAATGATAAATTTATCAAGAGGATATAGAGTTGTAAATATCCATGCACCTAACACTGAAGCGCTTAAATATATAACGTAAATATTAACAGAACTTAAAGGAGACAAAGATAGCACTACAATAATAGTAAGTAATTTCACAACTCCACTTTCAATAATGAATAGGTTATTCAGACAGAATATCAATAGGAAAACAGCAGATTTGAAGTACACTTCAGAGTAAATGTAAATAGCATACATACAGAATACTGCTTCCAAGAGTTGCAAAATACACATTCTTCTCAAGCACACATAGAACATTCTCCAGGATAGATCTTATATTAGACCATAAGACAAGTCTCAAAATATAATTTAAAAGACTGAAATTATATCAAATATATTTTACAAGAATAATATAAAATTAAAAATCAGTAACAGAAGAAAAACTAGAAAATTGTACAAATTACCTGGAAATTAAACACTGCACTCTTGAATAACCAGTGGGTCACAGAATACATTAAAGGAGAAATCAAAAAATGTATTCAGACAAATAAAAAGGAAAACAACATACCAAAGCTTATGTAAGGCAGCAAAGGCAATTCTAAGAGGGAAGTTTATGGTGATAAACGCCTACATTTAAAAAAAGAAATATCTCAAACAACCACCTCTAGGAACTAGAAAAAGGACAAATTAACCCCACAGTTTGCATAAGGAAGAAAACAATGAATATTAGAGTAGAAATAAATGAAATGAAATGAAATGAAATGAAATAGAAGCTAAAAAGAATAGTAGTTTTCTAAAGAAACAGAAAGGATCATGAGAGACTACTATGAACTACTATACATCAAAAAATTGAATAACCTAGAAAAACTGAATAAATATCTAGAAACATACAACATACCAAGATGGAATTATGAAGAAATAGAAAATATGAACAGACCAATAACCAGTAAGAAGATTGAAGCAATAATCAAAAACTTCTCAACAAACAAAAGCCGAAGAACAGATGGCTTCAGAGGTGCATATTGCCAAGCATTTTTAAAAAAGTAATGCCAATCCTTCTCACACTTTTTCAGAAAATTGAAGAAAGGATACTTCCAATCTCATTTCAAAAGGCCAGAATTACCTTCCCACCAAAGCCAGATAAGGACACTAAAATAAATGAAAATTACAAGTTAATATTCCCGACGACCATAGATGGAAAAATTCTCAACAAAATACTAGCAAAATCAAATTTAACAGCACATTAAAAGGATCATATACCATTACCCCCAAGTAGGGTTTGTCCCTGGAATGCAAAACTGATTACGTATATACAAATCAATAATGTTATATGCCACATTAACAAATGAAAGACAAAAATTATATAATCACATATGTAGATGCAAAAAAAATTTGACAAAATTCAACACCCTTTCATAATAAAAACTCTTAACAAATCAGGTGTAGAAGGGAATTACCTTAACATAATAAAGACCATATATGACAAGCTCATAGCTAACATCATACTCAATGGGGAAAATGCTGAAGTCTCCAACTTTATATTTGAACTGCCTGTTTCTTCCTTCAATTCTGTCCATTTTTCTTCCTGCATTTGGGAATCTGTTGTTAAGTGTATGTATGTTTATAATTGTTTTGCCCTTGATACTTTTATCATTGCATAATGTCCTTCCTTGTCTCTAATAACGATTTTTGTTTTTTTTTTTTTCAATATTACTATGGCTACTCCAGCTTTCTTTTGGATACTATTTACATGCAATATCTCTTTCTAGCCTTTCATTTTCCAACAATTTGTGTATCCAAGCCTCTTGTAGACAGTATAAAATTGAATCATAATTTTTATCCATTTTACTTATTTTTTTAATTGAAGAGTCTAATCTATATATATTTAACATAGTAATTGATAAAAAGAACTTATTTCTGACATTTTTCTATTTGTTTGCTATATGTCAAATCAGTTATGTCTCTCAATTCATCCATTAGTCTTTTTTTGTGCTAAACAGATATTTTCTATTATATCATATATATATATATATATATATATATATATATATATATATATATATATATATATTTTTTTTTTTTTTTTTTTTTTTTTTTTTTTTTTTGAGACAGAGTTTCACTCTTGTTGCCCAGGCTGGAGTGCAGTGGTGTGATCTCGGCTCACTGCCACCACCACCTCCCAGATTCAAGTGATTCTCTTGCCTCAGCCTCCCAAGTAGCTGGAATTACAGGTGCCCGCTGCCATACCCAGCTAATTTTTTGTATTTTTAGTAGAGACGGGGTTTCACCTTGTTGGCCAGTCTGGCCAGGCTGGTCTCGAATTTCTGACCTCAGGTGATCCACCCGCCTCGGCCTCCCAGTGTGCTGGGATTAGAGTCGTGAGCCACCAAGCTCGGCCTACTGTATCATTTTAATTCCCTTTTTTTTTTTAGTATACAGTTCTGAGTGGTTTTGAGTGGTTGCCCTGGGAATTATAATCAACATTGTAATGTATAATATTAATTTATAACATCGTAAGTTATCACCTTAACTCTTAATTTAATATTTACATATTTTCCATGAAATATAAAATATTTCCTCTTACATAGTGTAAACAAAGCCTGAACTATGTCATGATGCTATAAACTAAGAAAATACTCAAAGGAACATGAAGGCTGGGTGTGGTGGCTCATGCCTGTAATCCCAGCACTTTGGGAGGCCAAGTCAGGTGGATCACCTGAGGTCAGGAGTTCAAGACCAGCCTGGCCAACATGGTGAAACCCACTGTCTACTAAAGTACAAAAATTAGCTGGGCATGGTGACAGGAGCCTGTAATCCCAGCGACTCAGGAGGTTGAGGCAGGAGAATCGCTTGAACCCAGGAGGTGGAGATTGCAGTGAGCCGAAATCGCACCACTGCACTCCAGCCTGGGCAACAGAGTGAGACTCCGGCTCAAAAAAAAAAAAACAAAACAAAAAGGAACATGAAGAAATATCAAAAAATCACAGGAGCAGCTAAAAGGACTCCCCCCACTGGTCAAATCTGATACAATTTGAGTATCAAAATAAATAATAATGGATTATAACACAGCAATAAAATAAAAATCTGCCATTTTTATAATGAGTCTACCATAAAAATACATAAATGGAGAGGGCAAGGAATGTTTGTCTTTATAATATAAGCTAACTAATAAATATAGAAAGAATGATGGAGTTAGAAAATCACCATTGGATGCCAAAACTGGTGGGTGAAAATTTGAGAAGAATTGTATATTTATAATTCTTAAAATATGTAACCAAAATTCTTATTCATTACAAACAGGAATATTTTATTGACACACAATTATTGTACATCTTTTTGGGGTATGTGATATTTTTATACATGTATATAATGTATAATTATAGAATCAGAATATTTAGGATACCCATAACCTCAAACATTTCTTGTTTCTTTATGTTGGGAACATTTCAGATTTTCTCTTCCAGATATTTTGAAATATAAAATAAAGTATTGTTAACTATAGTCATACTAGTGTGTTATTGAACACTAGAACTTATTTTATCTAACTGTGTATTTGTACTCATTAACCAACATCTCTCCAGTCTCCCCCAACACGTGCCAGCCTTTGGTAACCATCATTCTACTCTTCTCGTGAGACCAAATTTGTAGCTCCCACACATGAGTAAGATCATGTAAAATTTCTCTTTCTGTGCCTGGCTTCTGTCACTTAATAAGACCTCCAGTTCCATTCATGCTGCTACAAATGACGGGATTTTATCCTTTTTATGGATGAATAGTATTACATTGTTTACATATATTAAATTATCTTTATCCACTTATCTATTTATGGACACTGGTTGAGTCCATATCTTGACTATTGTGACTAATGCTGCAATAAACATGGTGTGTAGGTATTCTTTTGGTATACTGGTTATCTTTCCTTTGCATAAATACCCGGTAGTGAGATCACTGGATTGTATGGCAGTTCCATTTTTAGTTTTTTAACCTCCATACTGTTTTTCATAATGGCTGTACTCACTTACATTCCCACAAACAGTGCAAGTGCTCCCATTGCTTTGCATCCTTGCCAACATTTGTTATTTTTTGTCTTTTTGACAACAGCCATTTTAACTGGTGAGATAATATGTCATTGTGGTTTTGATTTACATTTTCAGGATGATTAGTGATGGTGAGCATTTTTTCATATACTTGGTCATTTATATGTCTTTTGAGAAATGTCTATTCATAATCTTTGCCCACATTATAATGGAATTTTTTTATGTTTAGTTGTTTGCGTACCTTGTATATTATGGATATTAGTCCCTTGTTAGATGAATAGTTGGCAAATATTTTCTCCCATTCTACAGGTTTTCTCTTCACTCTGTTTATTATTTTCTCACTGTGAAGAAGACTTTTAGTTTACTGTAGTTCCATTTGTCTATTTTTCTTGTTGTTGCCTGTGTTTTGAAGTCTTAGCAGTAAAATACTTGCCTAGATCAATATTTGGAAGTGCTTCCTCTATGTTTTCCTCTAATAGTTTTATAGTTTTGGGTTTTCATTTAAGTCTTTAATCTATTTTGTGTAGATTTTTGCATATGGTGAGAGATGGAGGTCTAGTTTGATCTTCTGTACATGGACATTCAGTTTTCCCCATCTCATTTATTAAAGAGGGTGTCCTTTCTCCAATGTATGTTCTCGGCACCTTTGTAAAAAATGGCTATAAACTTGTGAATTTATTTCTGAGTTTTTGAGTCTGTCTTATTGGTCTGTGTTTCCATTTTTATATCAGTACCATGCTGTTTCGGTTACTATGGCTTTGTAGTATATTTCGATGCCAGGTAGTATGATCCCTCCAACTTTATTCATTTTACTCAGAATTGCTTTGGCTATTTGCCTCACAGAGAAATAAAGTGGAGAAACTGAATAAACATTATTTTATCCAAGTTATTAGGTTGGTGCAAAAGTAAATGCAGTTTTTGCCATTACTTTTAATGGGAAAAACCAATTTACTTTTGCACCAACCTAATATTAAAGGTAACAGATATTTGGAAGCAAATTTATGATGTGCCTTCTAATAAAATTCAGTGAGAAGAATATATCATCACTTCATAATATTCTTGCCAAAAATATATACTAGGTCTAATCATGAAGAAATACCAGGCAAATAAATATTGAGAAACATTCTACAAAGCAACTGGCTTGAAATCTTCAAAAATATCAAGGTCAAGAAGCACAAATGCAGACTGAAGAGCTGTTCCAAATTAGACACTAAAAAGATGTGGCAACTAAATGTAATGCAGAATCCTGGAGTTAATCCTAGATTTTGAGAAATCAATAGTTATATAGGAATTTATTAGAACAATTGATTAAAATAAGATGACAGTATTATATTAATATCAAATTTCCTGATTTTTATAACTCTAATCTGGTTATGCAACAAAATGACTTTGTTCGTAGTATATACACACGGACATAGTTAGACATAAAGGAGCGTATCTTGAACTTACTCAGAAATTTTTTTTCCAGGAAAAGAATACAAACACACACACACATTCATACACAGAGGGACAGAGAAAATGGTAAAATATAAACAATTGGCTAAAATGAGTAAAAGGTATATGACAGATACCTTAAAATATTTTTGAAACCTTTCTGTACAACTGAAAGTATCTCAAAATATACTGTCACTGGAGCCAACATGGAGTAACAGGGAGTAGGTTTAACCTTCACCCAAAACAAACAAACAAAAATGAACAAAATATATGAAACAACAATTTTCAAGATACAGGATATCAGGCAGTATAAGACAGTAATCTATGAGAAAAGGTAAACAAATAAGGGGATAATTACCTTAGAGAGAGTTTTTAGAATGCAGGGGAGGGGAGGGAAAACCCAGACAAAGCCCAGAAAATTTCTTAGGTTAAAGAAATACAGATATGAGACTAGGGAAGCCAATGTGTCCAAGTTCAAATGGCAATGTACTAGACAGGAGAAATATTCACTGAAAAATAAATCTAGAGAACTGCAGAGACTCCATCTCAAGTCCTCAGCTGAGTACTGATCAGAGGATCAGTAAAGAAAACACCCAAGTCTAGGGAAAGAAGCACCCAAAAGCAACAGAGGGAAAATATTCAGAATTTACATATAGCCAGATGTGGTTTATGTTCCCATCATCCAGAGTAGGAAATGTTACAATTCATGTGGACATTGCCATAGGAGTGGGGGAAAGCCATCCCTGGATTAAATCTTCTCTAATGCCACCTAAAAAAGCTTAAAATCATGCCTCAGAAAGATTATATGATTTTCAAATAACTGAATAAAGTTGAGAAATATTATATTTATTAATACAAATATACAATTATATTTACAAATATAAATGCTAGGTATTTTATAATCCAGCATTTTATCAAAGTAAAATGCAAAATGGCTGTCATCCAATCAAAAATTAGAAGATATGCAAAGAAGCTGAAAAATAAAGCCTCTAATAAGGAAAAGAAAAAAAGAATCAATGGAAACAGATACATAAATAACATGAACGATACAATTAGTAGACAATGACATTAAAATAATTGTTATAACTATGTTCCATTTGTTCAAATACATAGAGGAAAGATTGCAAATGACAAGTAGAAACATGGAGGACATTTTAAAAATCTAGATTGAACTTCTACAGATAAATCTACAGTATGTGGGATGAAAAGTGCACTGGATGGGATTAAAAGCAGATTAGATTCCAAAGGAAAAATAAATTGAAAACATAGCAATAGAAACTAACTAAAGGTAACACTGAGAAAGAAAACGATAAAAATAAAGAACATCAAGCACCCTCAGCCATCTGATTTTCATGTAATTCGAGCCCTTGGGAAAAAAGGTAAAATAGGGTTACACAAAAAATATTTGAAGAAATAAGGGCAGGTTTTTTCCATATGTGATAAAAACTATCCACAGATCCAAGAAGCTCAATAAATCCCAGGTATGAAAAATAAACAGAAACCCACACCAAGGCACATAATACTGAAAAAAAAAGACTGACAACAGATGTCTTGTTAGAAACAATATGAGAAAGAATAGTAGCAGAATATATTTTAAAAGCTGAAAGAAAAATCTGTCAAGACAGAATTCTATACCCAGTGAAAGTATCTGTCAAACTGAAGGCAAAACAAAGATTTTTTTCAGACACAAATAAGCTGAAATAATTTATCACAAGCAGACCTGCACTACAGGAGAGGTTAGTGATAGACTTTCAGTAAGAAAGAAAGTGGGCCTGTGAAATAAAAATAATTATTTACTTCCACAATACAGTGGTGGGACAGGCATAGGATATATATTTCCAACCCAAAAGGGGAAAAGAGGCAGGAAAAAATGGGTAACTGGTCCCAAGTAAGACCAAAACTCACCAAGAAAAACAATCTTTCACTTCCTGTGCCACCTTCTTGAGGTGGGGACAATGTCTGGATTCAAACTTCAGTGTGATGGATGCCAAATCTGCCCAGTACACTTCCTGGGTACCAAATGTACCACATGGGGCAGGAAGGGCACTGCATTCAAAGGTGCAATGGGGAGGGGAGAATTTGGACCCCCAAAGTCTTAGGCAGCTCTGCCTCTATGGTTTTGCTAGACTCTGCCCACACAACAGCTCACGGGCTGGAGTTTCATACCTGCAGCTCTACCAGGTTAGTATACCATTCTGGTAGCTGTATAATTCTGGGATCTTGATGGTGGCCCCACTCTCACAGTTTTACTAAGCATTGCCTTAGTGTGGGTTCTCAAAAGTCCTCTGACCCTTCAGCAAGTTTCTGACTGGCTCCCAGCCTGTCTGCAACATTCTTTGAAATGGGTGGAGGCTACAATGGCCCCACAGGGCATACACTCTGCACCACAGAGTCAGCACCATGTGGACCCCACCAAGAATGATCACTTGCCCTCTCCAGAGTGGCAGCACAAGCTGCATCTGAGCCTACTTTTGCCACAGCTGGGGCAACCAAGGAGTCCTGCACTGGAATGCAAAGAGAAGAGTTCCAAGGTAGCTCTGGGCAGCAAATACTGAGGTCCTTGAGGTACCCCTCTGGAAACTTTGCCCTCAAGGTCCTAGTTCTGCCTTCCATAAAATTTCTAAGGCATGAACATAATTCCACCAAGTTATTGACAGCTGCATAACAAGAGTATCCTTTATATAAGTTTTGAATACCTTATTCCTCATTTCCATCTGAGACATCAGAAAAGCCTTTACTGCCCATATTTTTACCAACATTCTGATCACAGTCATTTAAATAATGCCTCAGAAGACGTAGGCTCTTTCTACAGCTTTTTTCTTCTGAGATCTTACCAGAATTGCCATAATACACCATTCATGGCAATCTAGGCTTTTTCTAGCATGCTCCTCCAAATTCTTCCAGCCTCTACCCATTACTCCATTCCAAAGCTGTTCCACATTTTTAGAAATTGGTTACAGAACACCCCACTTCTGGTACCTGTTTCTGTCTTCATTTGTTTTGTGTTGCTATAACAGAATACCAAAAACTGAGTAATTTATGAACAATAGAAATTTATTTCTCACCATTGTGGAGACTGGGAAGTCTAACATCAAGGTGCCAGCATCTGGTGAGGTCCTTCTTGCTACATCATCCCCTGGCAAGGCAAGAGAGGTAAAGAGCAGGGGAGCAAAGGGTCAAACTCACAGCCTCAAAACCTTTTATAATTGGCTTCATTCCATTCATGAGAGTAGAGCCTTGATGACATAAACACCTCCCATTAGTAGCTACCTCTCAACACTGTTGCATTGGGGATTAAGTTTTCAATACGTGCTTTGTTGCGGGTACATTCAAACCATAGCAGCTATTATAAAAAAGACAAGATATAAGTGTTGGGGCAAGGATGTGGATAAAAGTTTACCTGTTACGGTTTGAATATTTTTTCTTTCCAGAACTCACGTTGAACCTTAACTCTCAGTGTGGCAATATTGACAGAAAGTCTTTAACAAATGATGTGGACAAAGGCGTCATGAATGAATTAATTCATTCATGGGTTAATGAGTTAATGGATTAATAGGTTATCATGGGAATGAGACTGGTGGCTTTTTAGGAAGAAGACAGACTTGAGCTGTCACATTCTTGCCCCCTCACCCTGTGATGCCTTCTGCCATGTTATTATGCAGTATGAAGCTCTCACTAGCAGCTTACCTGATGCTGCTGCCCAATTTTGAACTTCCCAGCCTCCAGAACTGTGAGCCAAAACAAACCTCTGTTTAAAATAAATTACCTAGTCTCAGATATTAAGTTATAGCAACAGAAAACAGACTAAGACAGAATCCTTGTACACTATTGGTGGGAATGTAAATTGGTACAGATATTACGAAAAACATTATGGAACTCCCTCAAGAAACTTAAAATAGAATTACCATATAATCCAGCAATCCCACTTCTGAATACTAAAAGATTTGAAATCAGTTTGTTGAAGAAATGTTTGCAATCCCATGTTCATTGCAGCACTATACACGATAGCCAAGGCAGCTACACCATCAGGATATGCGGAAGTTCACTGTCTTTCTATTTCCATAACTTTTCCATTTCTACTTCTACCTCTTAATTGCTACTGCACAAATATTTACAAAATAAACTAGCAGGTCATGTGACTTTGCCTGTATAATTCATCAAATGTCTACTGTTGCTCCACAAGATAGTCACTTTATTTAGTGTTCTTTCACTTTAAGTCTTTCCTGATTATAGATGAGAAATAAATGTTGTCTGGACTTCCTGGAAGACCTTCTGTCATTACTTGAATGCTTAATCATCTGTGACTATTCTTGCCCCCCATAGTAAATGTCCTCAGCTAAAAATTGAAGTTAAGAATCTGTTATGTGGGACAAAATTTTGTCTTATTTCAATTTGTCAATATGTAACCAGTGCTTTTCTCTTTAACTCTTTGATGCATCATGTGTCATACTTGAGCCTAATAGTTGTCAGCTCTCTTGGCAGAAAAGAGAAAGTGTAGCAACTAGATGGATGAAAATTATTTCATAGATTTTCTTTTCTCTGACCCCCACCACAGTGAGCCTCAAGCTTCAATTGATGAAGCAAATAGACTTGACACCACCCATTCTTTTATTCAGTAAGTTTTTAAATTCCCCTTAAGTGTTTAATAAATAAACTATTAAGACATTTCCACCACAAGTTGTTTTTACCCTATAATTTGCCTGGGTTTAAATCAGGCAATCATATTCTGTCAAATAGAATTATAGCTCTTTTGAATATAGCATTCATCACTGTGTGCCTACAAATTCTGTATGTCACAGTACAGCATTAATCCCACACAGCTCTCATGTTCTACATCTAGGAGGTAGTCACACAATCACTGAAGAGAATACAGGTGTGAGATCTTGAACTTGTGAAGCATATAAGTGGCTATTTGGAAACACACATATCCTAGAAGCAACTCTGATATTAAGAAAGAATAAAATGAGAACAAGAGTTAATAAATAAAAAGTCAAAGATAGGAAGAGGCTTAAGAAAATCTAGGAAGAGTTTATGAATAGGAACATGAATGAAAAAGGAGCCGCCCCAGCAACTCTCTCATAGGTCTTAGCAGAAACCAGAAAAAATGCTGATGTCAGTACATAAAGCAGGAAAGGTCTCAAGAAAAAGCAACATTACTAATGGACTTTCAAAAGGAGCTAAAAATACTGGAGGTTACTGACTTCTGGCAAATGAAAGTGGCATGCAAATTAAATGTCCTTCCTCCATTCAGGGAGGGACAATGAATGAACAGTATGTTTTTTTTTTTCTGAACAAGATGAGAAGAAAATCATCCATTACAATGTCTATATGATAGTAAATGAATAAATGTTTATTCAAAGAAAAAAGGAATGTTTGAGTTACATCAAGGTTAATCTTATGAATCCGAAATGGAAAGTCTTCAGGAAAGTTTAGAAAGTGTAATGACATTTCCATTCACTCCTTGGTTTTAACTCAAGGACAGAGGAAAACTTTTAAAAATATGCCAAGATACGCCATCACAAATGCTCATAGTTCATGACCTTTAATATTTGTCACCATCAACTGTGACAAGCCATGTTCTCTCTGTTATAGGGAAATAAGGCCCTTTCACAAAATCAATATGCAACATTTTAGAATAGTTGATATTCTTGATCTTGGCAATTAAAGGGGGAAAATTATGTACTTGATAAATAAGTGGTTAAAATAAGTGGAAGTTTTATTATCATCATTGAATTTATAAATTTTCTTAGTCACCAAGAAACCAAGTCTTCTAGAACCTATCTCTCACATATGGTGAGGATCTTCTCTTGAATATTGTCTATATTTATGCCCTTATCCAAACCTCAGTAGTTTAGCTTTCCTTCTCCATATGCATGTAACATCCTGTATAGGCAAAAATAAGTGCTTCTACTGATTCCTCATCACTGAGACAAACAACACTGAGAGCAGATTTGAAATAAATTCCATCATAATTGTCTCTTGCTTTCAACCTTGCCTGTGTACCCAACACACATACTCCTAAATGCAACCACATTCCAAAAATGCAAATCTCTTTATGTCACTCCTCTGTTTAAAACCTTCAGAGCCTCATAATACTTTCAAGATAAATTCAAATTTTGTACCATGACACAGAAGAGCATTCATGATCCACATCTTTCCAGCCTCAATTTGTTGACTCTCCCCAAAGTCATTCATGTCTTTTCATTTATTGAAAGCTTTCTGTTTGCTACACATACCATGATGCCACACACCCTTTTAGTATTCTTGTGTGATTCCCTCTACCTCTAGTACCAAGCCTAATCTTACCTTCAACACCTGAGTCAAGAGTTTATATTTATGAAGCTATATATTTCTTCTCTGCACTTTCATAGCACTTCATACATAACTCTCTTACAGCACTCATACTAGGCTGGCATTTTTTATTTTTTTCATCTCTCTTTCCTTACTAGACCTCCTTGAAGCAAGGCCTATATTAGTTGATCTTCATGCCAATGGCACCTAACAGTTTAGCTCATCCACAGATGTTCAATAAATGCAGGTTAAATTTTTAAAAAAAGATGGATGGATGGATGGATGGATGGATGGATGGATGGATGGAAGGAAGGAAGGAAGGAAAGAAAGAAAAAGGGAGAAAGGGTGGGTTATAAATTGAATGCTTGTCTGCCTCCCAAAATATGAATGCTGAAACCCTAACCCACAATATGATGGTATTTGGAGATAGAACCTTTGGAAGGTAGTTAGGGTTAGATAAGGTCATTAGGTTGAGGCCTTCATGATGGAATTAGTATTCTTATAAGAAGAGCCACCAGAGAAATTGCTCACATCCTTTCTCCTCACACATTCAAGAAAGGCCATGTGAGCCTTTCTTCACAGCAAGAAGGCAATTCTCTGCAAACCAGGAAGAGAGCCCTCACCAGGAACCAAGTCAGCTGGCACCTTGACATTAGTCAAGCTTTCTGAACAGTGTGAGAAAATAAACGTCTGTAATTTAACCTCCCACTCTATGGTATTTTGTTACAGCAGCCCGAGCTGACTAAGACAGATTTGGGTACCAAGAAGTAGGGTACTACTGTAATAAATATGTAAAAATGTGAAGGTAGCTTTGAAACTGGGTAATGGATAGAGATTGGAAGAATTTTTAGGAGTATGCCAGAAATATAGGCATTGAAGTCTATTCTGGTGTAGTCTCAGAGAAAAAATTAAGAATATTTTATTGGAAAATGGAGGAAAGGTGATCCTTGTTATGAGGTGGCAAAGAACTAGGCTGAACTGTGTTTTAGTGTTTTGTGGAAAGTAGAACTCATGAGTGATAAAATTGGATATTAAGCTGAGGAGATTTCTAAGCAAAGTGTTGAAAGAGTAGCTTGGTTCCTTCTGACTACTAATAGTAAAATGTGATAAGAGAGAGATTAATTGGAAAAAATAATAGTTATGGAAAATGAACCAGAGCTTGAAGATTTAAAAAATTCTACCCCTATGTATTTTGCAATATGCCTATCCATATTGCAAAAAAATGAGAAATCTTGTTCTGAAGAGGAGACTAAGGTTATAGATGAACAACCATTTGATAAAGAGATCATGAGTGTAACTCATGAACTTAACTGGCCATTTTAACGAAGCCAGGAATAGAGATGGGATTATACCAGCAAAGACATGGCTAGTTTAATCCAAAGGAAATAGAGAAAGCAGAATGTAATGAAGGAATTCTGTCAGATTTCCTAGATTCTACAAGACCAGACCACAGAGCTATTTGGCTGTGAGCACACACTATTCTTCAAGGAAAAGGAAAAATTGATCCCAAAGATTCAGAGATCATAAGGAATGCCACTCTCACCACAGGCCCAGAAGCAAGACTGTTTCCTCCTTGGTTTCAAAGGGTGGGGCCACCTCTTTGGTTTTCCCAGGCCAGGATGATCCTGCCCAGTGTTTCAGAGGTGGGGGCCATCCTTGAAGAAAGCTTGTGGTATTTTATTTTGTCAGCCTTTGCTAAGACAGGAAGGAAGGAAGGAAGGAAAGAAGGAAAGAAGGAAGGGAGGAAGGAAGGAAAGAAAGAAGGAAGGAAGGAAGGAACCTGTGGATATGCCCATGTCCAATGGCTCATGGCTGCAGATGATCAGCCATGTATTGAGATTAAGCCTGTGGTTTTCTCTGCAGGGGTAATTAGCTCCCCTGGGGAGTCACATTATTGACCTTGCATTTATTGGTATCCCTTGATCTAATCAGAACTAACAGCACAGATAAAAAGGGAAGTGAGAACCATTAAGCAGGTGATTGTGTGGGGTAAAGACCACAAAGATTCCTTCCATCATTTACCTGAAAGTGTCAACCTTGACTTTCACATTCTACGATTTGGGAAATGTAGGGTCTGTAATATTCATAAAACCCTAAATTATGAAGAAAATTCATACTAATAAAAATTCAAAATTAAATGAAACAAAAAGAAATGCTACATTACATAGTGGTATCTCAATTTCCTTATTTGCTTCCCATTCTGTCTTCCCTGCCCAAAATAGTCCATTCATTCTATCATTATTGAAACAAGCCTTCTTAAACATTTCAATGGCTCTTCATCATCCTCATTATTAAATCCAAATTTCCTACAACTCACACTTTATAAATTGGCCTCTACCATCCCAGCCATGATAAATAATGCCATGCCTTCACTCGCCCCTTCACCTCTGTATATGCTTTTCTTTCTACCTAGCACACCTCTCCACCCATCACCTATGCCTAGTCATCCTCCAGGTTTTAGCATATATATCACTTTATCTAGGAAGTTTTGTCTGACTTCCCAAATATGGGTTAGATTTGCCTCCCTCATTCTTATAACACACTCTCTATTTCCCTTTAAAAAATTGTAGTACATGTAATTTACTTGTTCATATGCCCCACAGACAAGAAGCTACTATATGGGGAAAACTATTGTATTCATGTAGTCATGTATGCACCACGACTGGCATATAGTAGGTGCTCATTAAATAATTTTTGCTAAATGAGTGAACTGATAAGTTTCTAGAACTTGTAAATGATCTAAGTCTAATGACAACTCTACATGTTTATGTTATTTAATATTTAAATGAGCACATTCACATCTCATTATCTCATTTAACTCTTAAAACAACCCAGTGTAGCAGGACAGGTACTAATCAAACACTGTCGATTGTCCACTCAATAGCCACATCATTTCTCTTTTGTACTGGCAGGAGCCCTGGTTTTCTTCTAGAGCTCATTTTCCTCTAAGTAACCAGAATTAATACTGATTGGCTTGAAGTAATGTGGTGACTGTGGCAGCCTGTTTCCATAGAAGACAGTCTGAGGCAAGGGTTAAGTGCTATTTTGGGGAGGTGCATTGCAAGGCCTAGGGAGTGAAGGAAGGAGGCAGTGAGACAGGTAATAATGAGAAGTAAACAAAAATTGATGCTTTTCCAGGTTGCCACCATTTCGCAAAGTGAAACAAATTCACTCAGCTACTTGAGATGTCTTTAGACAAGCTACATCAAAAATCCATGCTTCAGAACAGCCTATCACAGGGGAAAGAGAAAAGGAATTTTTCCACAAGTCTCTTACCACTCTCTGTCTCCCACTAGTAAATGTTTGCCCCATTAAAAAAGTAACTGCTAATATGGTGCGTCTTCTAAGTGCAGAAGTGATGGGAATAGCCAAAGACTTAGCAAAGTGGTGTTCACTTGCACAGAACTGGCCCAGGGTGCTGTAGCTCCAGCAGCAGCTGCAATGGTGCAAACATCCAAAGGCCCAGGAGACAAGAGAATAGGAAGACATTCATGAGATAGGGCAGATACAGTGGTAATTCCAGAGGTAGCTTAAGTGCTGGGATGTGGGAAGTCTGCTGGCCAAGGGGGAATGGTATGGTAAAAGCTTACAGAGACATTCTTTTATTATTATTATTATTATACTTTAAGTTTTAGGGTACATGTGCACAATGTGCAGGTTAGTTACATATGTATACATGTGCCATGCTGGTGTGCTGCACCCATTAACTCATCATTTAGCATTAGGTATATCTCCTAAAGCTATCCCTCCCCCATCCCCGCAACCCACAACAGTCCCCAGAGTGTGATGTTCCCCTTCCTGTGTCCATGTGTTCTCATTGTTCAATTCCCACCTATGAGTGAGAATATGCGGTGTTTGGTTTTTTGTTCCTGTGATAGTTTACTGAGAATGATGATTTCCAGTTTCATCCATGTCCCTACAAAGGACATGAACTCATCATTTCTTATGGCTGCATAGTATTCCATGGTGTATATGTGCCACATTTTCTTAATCCAGTCTATCATTGTTGGACATCTGGGTTGGTTCCAAGTCTTTGCTATTGTGAATAGTGCCCCAATAAACATACATGTGCATGTGTCTTTATAGCAGCATGATTTATAGTCCTTTGGGTATATACCCAGTAATGGATGGCTGGGTCAAATGGTATTTCTAGTTCTAGATCCCTGAGGAATCGCCACACTGACTTCCACAAGGGTTGAACTAGTTTACAGTCCCACCAACAGTGTAAAAGTATTCCTATTTCTCCACATCCTCTCCAGCACCTGTTGTTTCCTGACTTTTTAATGATTGTCATTCTAACAGGTGTGAGATGGTATCTCATTGTGGTTTTGATTTGCATTTCTCTGATGGCCAGTGATGGTGAGCATTTTTTCATGTCTTTTTTGGCTGCATAAATGTCTTCTTTTGAGAAGTCTCTGTTCATGTCCTTCGCCCACTTTTGGGGCAGGGCACAGACAAACAAAAAGACAGCAGTAACCTCTGCAGACTTAAGTGTCCCTGTCTGACAGCTTTGAAGAGAGCAGTGGTTCTCCCAGCACACAGCTGGAGATCTGAGAACGGGCAGACTGCCTCCTCAAGTGGGTCCCTGACCCCTGACCCCCGAGCAGCCTAACTGGGAGGCACCCCCCAGTAGGGGCAGACTGACACCTCACACGGCCGGGTACTCCTCTGAGACAAAACTTCCAGAGGAACGAGCAGACAGCAGCATTTGCAGTTCATGAAAATCTGCTGTTCTGCAGCCACCGCTGCTGGTACCCAGGCAAACAGGGTCTGGAGTGGACCTCTAGCAAACTCCAACAGACCTGCAGCTGAGGGTCCTGACTGTTAGAAGGAAAACTAATAAACAGAAAGGACATCCACACCAAAAACCCATCTGTACATCACCATCATCAAAGACCAAAAGTAGATAAAACCACAAAGATGGGGAAAAAACAGAGCAGAAAAACTGGAAACTCTAAAAAGCAGAGCGCCTCTCCTCCTCCAAAGGAACGCAGCTCCTCATCGGCAACGGAACAAAGCTGGACGGAGAATGACTTTGACGAGTTGAGAGAAGAAGGCTTCAGACGATCAAACTACTCTGAGCTATAGGAGGAAATTCAAACCAAAGGCAAAGAAGTTGAAAACTTTGAAAAAAATTTAGACGAATGTATAACTAGAATAACCAATACAGAGAAGTGCTTAAAGGAACTGATGGAGCTGAAAGCCAAGGCTCGAGAACTACGTGAAGAATGCAGAAGCCTCAGGAGCCAATGCGATCAACTGGAAGAAAGGGTATCAGCGATGGAAGATGAAATGAATGAAATGAAGCAAGAAGGGAAGTTTAGAGAAAAAAGAATAAAAAGAAACGAACAAAGCCTCCAAGAAATATGGGACTATGTGAAAAGACCAAATCTACATCTGATTGGTGTACCTGAAAGTGATGGGGAGAATGGAACCAAGTTGGAAAACACTCGGCAGGATATTATCCAAGAGAACTTCCCCAATCTAGCAAGGCAGGCCAACGTTCAGATTCAGGAAATACAGAGAATGCCACAAAGATACTCCTTGAGAAGAGCAACTCCAAGACACATAATTGTCAGATTCACCAAAGTTGAAATGAAGGAAAAAATGTTAAGGGCAGCCAGAGAGAAAGGTCGGGTTACCCACAAAGGGAAGCCCATCAGACTAACAGCGGATCTCTCGGCAGAAACTCTACAAGCCAGAAGCAGTGGGGGCCAATATTCAACATTCTTAAAGAAAAGAATTTTCAACCCAGAATTTCATATCCAGCCAAACTAAGCTTCATAAGTGAAGGAGAAATAAAATCCTTTACAGACAAGCAAATGCTGAGAGTTTTTGTCACCACCAGGCCTGCCCTAAAAGAGCTCCTGAAGGAAGCACTAAACATGGAAAGGAACAACCGGTACCAGCCACTGCAAAATCATGCCAAATTGTAAAGACCATCGAGGCTAGGAAGAAACTGCATCAACTAACGAGCAAAATAACCAGCTAACATCATAATGACAGGATCAACTTCACACATAACAATATTAACTTTAAAGGTAAATGGACTAAATGCTCCAATTAAAAGACACAGACTGGCAAATTGGATAAAGAGTCAAGACCCATCAGTGTGCTGTATTCAGGAAACCCATCTCACATGCAGAGACACACATAGGCTCAAAATAAAAGGATGGAGGAAGATCTACCAAGCAAATGGAAAACAAAAAAAAGGCAGGGGTTGCAATCCTAGTCTCTGATAAAACAGACTTTAAGCAAACAAAGATCAAAAGAGACAAAGAAGGCCATTACATAATGGTAAAGGGATCATTTCAACAAGAAGAGCTAACTATCCTAAATATATATGCACCCAATACAGGAGCACCCAGATTCATAAAGCAAGTCCTGAGTGACCTACAAAGAGACTTAGACTCCCACACAATAATAATGGGAGACTTTAACACCCCACTGTCAACATTAGACAGATCAACGAGACAGAAAGTTAACAAGGATACAGAGACATTCTTAAAAACACTAGTGAAATATATTGCATATTGTATTTCACTAATCAGGTAACTAAGAATGCATTTTACAACCAATAGTGTGTCTTAATCTAATTGGTTGTGCTATTTCTTTCACAGTGGTATACAAAACAATGGTGCATTTTATAGTCAATGACATCTTAGACTCTGTGAAATACAGTACTCCTGTGGTGGCCTTCAGACCAACACAGCCCTTCATAACGTGTAATTATGTAATGCAAGGGGCTGCAACAGCCTTCCTACAACCATGAAAGGATCTAACCTAACAGTCTGAGGCTAACAGAGCAAAAATATGGAAAGTATCTATGTCTTTTTAGTGATATTTTTCCCCATCTGACAGATTAACAAACTGAAAATAGAGAGCTGATGTTCTTTTCCAGAGCCTCATAGGTGGTTAAACAATGGAGCTGAGACTTTAACCTAAGACCTTGGTGTTCTTTCCCATACAACTTCGACATGGTGTTCAAAGTCCGTCACAACTGGCCTGTTTACAGCCCTATCTGTTAATCTCTTCCCACAGGTCTGTCCTGTTCTCTATATATAAAACTTGAGGTTTCCTGAAAGCAGTCCATTTTCCCATGTTTCTCCACTTTCAACGTTTTAGAAAATCTGGCAAAAAACATAGTAAAGAGTATGTCTCACTAAAGATTTATTATGAAGAAAGTATAGAGATCTGGTACCTTATCTCCAATCTTTTAGGATTCAGTATATGGTATATGCAGAGTAATACCATCTTTCCCTAAAAACATCTTGCTGCCACCACCAAAAACAAAATACCAGGTGCATGCAGACGTGCTACTCAAGCAATGAAACCACATCAGGTCCACACCCATCAGAACAGGTTCAGTGGATCCACACTAGCCAGTGTGTATCAGCTAAGCACCATTCTTCAACCAACCCTGGCTGCATATAGCCCCTGAGCCCCAAAGGTGCCCACACTCATGTTCACAGCTACCCAGTGACTCTCCCTCAAGCACCTCTAACATGTTTACGTTGACTGGCTTTGGCTGATGCTACTTGCACTTTCAAGTATTTCAGCCAGGTAAATTACTAAATTTCAATGGGAGTGTGAAAACTGGAAAACAATGGCTCTATAATAATTCAAGCCCATTTTAATAGCACTTGATTGCCAACATGGTCAAGCATCAGAATAAAAATCCAAAATATCCAGAGAAATCTATGCTGAAGCAACTTAATGACACAATAGGTTACTGCTCAAATGAAAGAGGATCCAGAAAAAAGAAAACCCACTAGGGCATGAAAACAGTCTACAGAAACAAAGCAGCTGTTTTCTGCATGTGGGTGCCTCCAGCATTTGTGAATCTGCAGTCAGCTGTGAATACGCTGGGTGCCATTTCCCATCTTCACCAGAGGAGGCTGCATGGTTTAATGTTCCCAAGTCAAGGGAGCAACCTGTAGGAGCAAATTTAATAAGACAATATCCCCAACATGTCCATCATCCTCCAAGCAACTTAGCAATCATTATCTTTTTTCTTTTTACATTCTAGCATTATGTGACACTTATCTTTGATGGGAAGAGAAAAATTGCATACATTTAGGGATCCCCTCTCAATAAATGGCTCAGGATGGAAATTAAGCCAAAGACTTCATGTCTTAATACTCCAAATAAGCATCCTCAAGGAAGTCTGACTTAGAGAACCCAGACCATTCGACAGTTCCAGTTTTCTCTTTTCCTATGGTCCCTCTCTCTTAAGTGGGAGCCTGGGGTCAGGATGTGGCAAACATACTCCCCCTATCTTACCTTTCTCACAGTTCTCCAATGTCACACCATAAAGTAAACATTTATGCATATGTACAAGGGGTGCTGCAAGCCACCTGCAGGAAGGTTTACAAAATTCGGTCTTCCTAAGAGATAAATCGCAGGTATTTAGTTCATTATGTTCTAAGCAGAACCGAGGGGGAAAGAGTGAGAATATGATAGTGATTGTAAGTGCACCTAGGGTCCTTTGCTGTGTGGGAGCTGCCAAGTGAAGAAATATATTAGTCTTGCTTTTCTGTTAGCCTCCTCATGAAGTAATCACTTAAATGGATTCTCAGAGTTCAGGGGAATTGGAAGACCAGCTGTAATAAGAGAAATACCTTGAATTTTCTTCCAAGGCACTCCGACGGCTTTGCAGACATTATTACATTTACCAGCCTTCCCTGGTCTCTGTGCTTCCATCCAAAAAAGATGTCAGCTTCATGAGGGAGGAAATCTGCCCTTACATACAAGAAAAAATGAAAGCAGAGCTTCTGAGACTTGTCGTGTATGGTTCCCGTGGCTTCCAGGGCCCAGGATTCTGAAATACCAGTCACTCTGCATATTTCAGTATTTTAGAGTACTCATTCCAGGAACCTGAAGGGGCGACAGCAGTGTTGATCCCCAAACTCCCTCTCCAAAAGGAAAACATTTGGAGGTCAACTTAAATGCCAGCCTCTTCTTTCCCCACTCCTGCTCCCCACAGCTCTGCACACATACACCCTTGGGTAGCTCTGAGTTATTTTGGGCTTCAACCTCATCTGCCTTTCACATTAGATTCAGCGTTAATTATGATGCTTCAGTGAAAACGAGCCTTCTGACAGTCTCAAGCTTGGAGAATGGAAGGAGAAATAATGGCAGCTCCAATTATAGGCGGTAAGCCCTAATTAATGCCCACCTCCTGTGCTTGGTATTCTAGACACAATCACCCCACCACTAGGGGGAAGAACTCAATTCACTCTATGGCACAGGGACCAACAATATTAAGCCAGTTACTTGCTGGTCCCCACGGAACATGATCTTTCAAGCAAGGAAACGATTTATGTGCAATAACCAGGAGGAACACATAACCCTGCATTTCTCCTTTTAAACTGTCTTTTGACATTCTTGTGGCACACCTTCTTTTAGGAGACAAAGAATAGACCCTTTTAGAAACCCAAAATCTATTTCCTTTGTTGGTTCTAGACCTCAAATCAATCAAACAACCAAATATGTGTAATCATATATATACACACACACATATATATACATATATACACGCATATACACACACACACACACATAGACACATATGTATACGCACACATATAATGTATGTATATGACTTAAGCACTCTAATTTGCTCTGTGAGAAATATGAAGGGTGTAAAATCTCATTTCTCCTCTGAGAAATATGTGGTACCACAAACCTCACTAAATCAGAATGTCTTCTGGGAAAGTAATACTTCCCTGCTGCTTTCTGAAGGACTTCAGCAATTAAATTTGCAGGGAGTAAATTCAAACGAAGAACAAGACTGCCATACAGCTCCTGACTGGAGCCCTATTTAAAGCATTAAGCTGCCCAAGTTTGCAGTGACTTCTACCCCTCTACCTCTCAGCCTGCATCCTCTTTCTTATCTGCAGCTTCTAGTCCACCCATTCCATTCAATGTGGTTCCACAAATGGTCACTGAGGGCCCTGGGCCAGGAGCTGAACAAATATAAAGTGAGTCATAATCCTGCTCCCTTCACTCTGGTGCTCAATGGAATCTACTATATATGTCTTCGTATCACTCGCCATCACCAGATTGTGCATTCCTCAAAGGCAAGTATTATGTCATATTCACCTCTGGATCCTTGGATCCAAATTCAGAGCCCCACACTCATGAGCTCAACAAATGGCAAATGAATTAGGAAATGAATGAATAAATAAATTAGAGCAAATTTAGCAGGCTAAATGATTTCGGCCTCCTCCTAGCATCCTCCAAGAACATCTACAGGGCATGCCCAGGCCATCTCCCTATCAGAGATTTTCTCTTAGTATTCTCCTTGAAGTGGTCTTCTTCCCCTAACTCACCCTTTAGTCCTAATTTACTTACCCACACTTAACAGTGGTCTGAAGTTAGCCTGCCTGTTCATATGCCTACTTGATTGTTGTCTATCTAACTAGAAAATAAATTTGAAGAGGTCACAGACTTGTCTGATTTGCCTGTATCCTTGGCATTTAGCACAGTGTTTAACATAAAGAAAGAAATCAATATTTCATAAATGAATGGATGATTGAATAAGTGATTAAATGGAGAATCACACATCAAATTAATGTGTAAGGATATCAGAACTATGAGAAAAGTTAACATAGCCTAATATTTAATCCATTAAGTAATATTTGTAGGTAGGGAGGATAGGACACTGCTAAGAAAAGTGGATATAAAGATAAATAAGACATTGACTTGAACCTCAAAGAATGCACAGTTTAATAGGGACCAAAAAACAGGCACGCGCACACACACACACACGCACACACACATTCCATTTTAAGAACTCTTACAATAAAGCAAATTAAGACACTGGAGATTAAGTCACTAGGAGACATAAAATGGTTTAAATCTCAAGGGGCATATTACGCCAGTAGAGAGACTGATGGATACATGAAAAGGTAACTAATAGTATCTAACGCCATTTGATACCAGCCATGTGAATCAGAATCTCATAGATCACAAAAGGGAATGATTATCATCATCGCCTTTAAATGGTTCAAAGACTCTCTTCTTCCTCCGCCACTGTCAAAGGGGCAGACTTGGCCTACAATCAGTAAGAAGGTGGTCCTGCTGATAGCTCTATAAGCATCAATGTGCAGGTAATATCAGGAGGAGGGAAATTATTCATCCCACTCAACTATTCAAAAGAGGCTGCTTTTAACCTTTATGTTCTTCAGAGCACTTAACATGCCACTAGTTTGCAATAAATTACAATTAGTAAAAACAGCATCATTATTCTGGGTTTTATTATTAGAGGCATTAATTTTTAATGTTTACTATACTCAAATATGTGTAGAAGCCTCGAAATGTATTTAATAACAACTTCCACCTTCCGAGCTCTAGTGATGGTCTAGTGGGATTTAACCAAACTCTACCACATTTAATGTTCTGAGCAGAATGAGGCAGCCAGAAAGAATAGGAAAGTGAGGGGGAAAGCTCTGAGCTGAGAAGGAATGTATGCTCCAGAGGATCTGAAGCCCATTCGGTCTTTGCCTGGAGGTCAGCAGGGTGCTCTGCAGTTTAGAAAACCTCACCTTGAGCCAGCCTGGCAACACAGACCCTAACAACTCCCAAGGTAAACAGGCTCAGAAAGAACCACTCCATATTTGGAAGTGAACATTCTCAGGGAGCTAGGGAAGAAGCTTTCTGGAGTGAGGAGGTATGGAATGGAAGGAAAGAAGACTCTGCCTCTCCTCCACATGTCTCCAGCTATAGGCTATCTTGGGGCTCTGAAGGCTCATGACTTCCACCAGCTCCAGGTTAGGCTGACAGACCCCCTTCCTCTACTCCCTTCATCAGTCCAGAGTAGGATGAGGGGAGAGGCTTTCCTTTTATCAATATGTCAAGGTGATCAGAGTGAGAAGCTGGGTCCAGGTTCTACCTAACTCTCTGTGTGGTTTCGGATATGAGTTCCCTTTATTTAAACAATACCTTCTCAACCCCGCCCAGAGGACACCGGCCCCGAACTCTTGACTCTTGATGATGGTAACTTACCCTATGCAGAAGCTGTGTTGAATTTTTATAAATGGGATTAGGAAGCACCAGTCAGCCTTCAACCTTGGTGCTTGGCCAAAATCTGCTATTCTGTTTGAACTGTAGCCACTGCAAGGCTAAAAGAAACTGAAGGCCAATGTAAACATCATTTCTGGGACCCCTGGATGTGGGTGTGATCAGTAATTGTGCAATCGTCTAGGTCACTAGCTTTTCTAGTCAGGGTAACCCTGTCAGCAAAATAAACAAGCCATGTCCTTTGAATTTACTGTTAACATCTGACTATTTACCTTCAAATATAGAAAGGCATTCCATATGGACCTTGGAGTGAAATTTTATGTGCTTTATGTGTTACAATTATGTCAGTTACATTTAAAATATACATTTATTATCACAAGAGTAACATGCTACACAAATTAATAGTGATTGTGAAAGTTGTTAAATTTATTAACAAAACCAATTATTTAGAACTTTAAAATTGCAAAATACAAGAAAATTAATGGGGAGTTGATAGGAGTGTATTATCTAGACAACTTTAGGAAGGGCATTGTATCCTTTTTGCAACCACAAATGTTTATTACAATGTAAATAACAATTCAAGCAGAGTAATAGAGACTGGATAAAATCATATTTCTAATCTTTGCTAATTTTTTTGAAAATTTAGCATTTATAACATTAAACAAAATAATCTTGAAGAAATGTATTTGTGTTTAGTTACTTTCTTTTAGGTCATGATTCCTACTCTGCGACCCAACTCAGCAGAGTATGAGCATGGCTTTAGGATGGTAGTTGTACAACACAATCATCTCATAGTCTAGCCAGTGGATAGCAGAGTAGAGAGTTTGTTGCTTCTGCACCATATCGTCAAACTTTTTAAAATTTGACTCCTAAAATTTTTATGAATAAAATTTTTGGAATAACGAAATTTTTTAAATAAAATCTGTTTTTTATTCTTGTAACCCAGAAGTTTATTCTCTAATGGTAATATTTGGCTTAAGCCAAATTTTTTTTTTTAACACATGACTATTCAGCTTTAGGGCAAAATGCATATTCCATGCATTTCTTGGGCTTCTCACAGTGACCTCCTCTCTCTGCAGGAACAGGTAACTGCTTGCCAAGGAAGTCTATACAAAGTGCCTAAAACAATTATTAATAAATAACCCCTTCAGTTAGGTTCCCTAAGCTGCTTTCTCACTTAATTACAATTAGTAACAACAGCATCATTATTCTGGATTTTATTATTTATCCTTTTAAATTATATTTATCTTTTAAAATTATAGTCAGTTGTTTGCTGCCATTATTTTCTGCACACATGGTTTAAGTTTATGCCTTTTCATCATGGGTGGCCACAACCCACAACATGGGAAACAGTGTGGAAGTGCCGACTCCCTTAGGCTTCTGTCCAGAGCCTTCGCCCTCTGTCCCTGCTCCTACCCAGTTCATGTGCCCAGGCTCTGCCAGCTGTTGTCTCCTCTTCCTTCATGCAGGTCTGCTGCCCACACAACAGAGAGACTCACCCTTGTAGGGTAGCGTATTAGTCCATTCTAGTACTGCTAAACAAATATCTCAGACTGGGCAATTTACAAAGAAAAGAAGTTTAATTGGCTCACAGTTCTACAGGCTGTACAGGAAGCATGATGCTGGCGTCTGCTCAGCTTCTGAGGAAGCCTCAGGAAATTTACAAACAAGGCCAAAAGTGAAGGGGAGGCGAACACATCTTACATGGCCAAAGCAGGAGGAGGTAGGGAGAAGTGCTATACTTTTAAACAACCAGATCTCATGATAACTCACACTTGCCATGACAACAGCAAGGTAGATGGTGTTAAACCATAAGAAACCACCCCCATACTTCAATAACCTCCCTACAGGCCCCACATCTAACACTGGGAATTATAATTCAACATGAGATTTGGGTGGGGATACAGATCCAAACCATATCAGGTAGCCTGCGCAGAAGATCCCAAAGCCTATATTTGCCCAAGACCTGCCAAGTTTTACATTTTTACTGACCTCTGGGATTCAAAAAGCAGTGTACTTGCAGAGCTCAGTGTCTTCATTTCATTTAATCTACAATAAAAGAAAAAATAATTATTCTACATGCTGAGTCCACAGATGACCAGGAAGAAAAGGGGCAGCTCTTGACTCAGGCTGTCTTGGATGGGGCTGTGGTGCTCCACAGGAACACCTATGGCACCCGACCCACCTATGCCTCCCACCACAGCTGCATCTTTAGACATGCCACAACTTGACATGGCAAAGCATTGCCTGTGCAACCTAGAGCAGTAAACATGCTAGGGTAATTAATGTCTTAACAACTTATTACAATTCTCAGATAATTAATCACAAAAGCTAAACATGCTGTCTCACCCTCCTAATGTGCTAATGCTCTAATTATTATGCCTCAATTAAGGGGAAGTCAATGCTCCTTGCTTAAAAGTGCATGCTTAATAAAGGCTCATGCAGAGCTCCAGCACACAGTCGTATATGGTAGGGAGGAAGGAGAAGACCTTTTTAATGCAGGCTTATAGGCAGCTTCAGGCAAGAAAGTGACAGCTCCCTTTTCTTGAATTTTATTATTGGACAAACGCTAAGTTCTGAAAACCTACTGGGGCTTAGGGATGTCTCTAGGAGGAATGGGGTGAGGGGAAGGAAATATGTTCCAGATGAGGATGTGTATATGTGCTGGCACATGTGTGTGTATTTTCTGAAAGTGAAAGTTAGACAACAGCCATTCCCTTTAACAGATTCATGGGTGAGTATGGCCCATGGAGCCTGGCTACCTCCCAGGACCCTCAGGACTCAGTGTGTTTGGCACACTAGGGATACAAAGGCTCCAGCAATGAAGGGCCTCCCTCTAAATTAAATCTTACATTTGCCTCCGAATTGTCTTGAATAGTGTTTTTCTTTTCTGAAATATATTTTATATACTTTGAAATATATTTCCCATAGTCATCTAGGACACACACAAACACACCATAAATACAAAAAAGTAAAACAAAAAGTTTCACAAAATAGGACCATGATTACTTCATGAAGGCATTTTGATGTTTTGTATTCTATTTTATTCCATTTGTTAATGCTGATTGCAACCCACTGAATTGATCTCATAACCTATTAAGAAATCTCAATAGAGTTTGAAAAAATACTGGTCTACAAGCTGAATAGCCCATAAAGAGGTTCCACTTTTTGTAAGACTATCCATTGACTCTGAGACTAGGACCTGACTCCCCAGTCCTGAGGATCATTTACCAACTAATCAACAAATACTGAGTAGTCATATGTCCCTCAACTCCTAGAGCTTTGTCCATCTGCCTCCTTACCTGGCTATTTGGACCTGGTGGTAGATCAAAAGTGACCCATCAGTCTTGAAGTCTAAGTAGACACACAAACACACATACACACACACACACAAGATTCCAGGATAATAAATAGTAACTTTCTCAAAAACAAAACTAAAAAAAGGTTGGTCCCCAAAGTTTTCAGGGACTCTTTTAAGGTAAATAGGACCTTTTAACAACCCTTAAAGCATTAAAACTAATAGAAGCTTAAAAATCACTGTAGCCCTTGCTTGGGGCCTTTTTGTTGTTGTTGTTTTATTTTTATATTTTTCTCTTCATCTACCACTGTTAGAACATTCCCTATGTAACACTGTACAAACACACCAGAGTGAATTCTGGTAGGAAGTAGCAGGCTTTCTGTGACTCTCACCCGAGAGACTAGTCTGGCCGCCGTACTTGCACGACCCTAGGTCCACTACCTTTGTATCCAGATTCAGGATTCTTCACACGTGCATACTCCCAACCCTATGACAATGACAAGCCTCCTGGGTAATAATACTAGCCCACACAATCCTGTAACAACTAATAATTAGAATATAAGTTATATTCCTTTTATGCTACACACAGTTTCTTGAACTTTGGGAGATACTGAGAAGTACTGGACACAGTTTTGGCTCATTAACCATTTTCAGACTTCTTAGGAAGGCTAGACACAGAAGCATTAAAAAAGAAAACTTGGTTCAGGGCAGTATTTGCTAAGTGGCCCATAAATGATGTTTGCCTAGAAGAGAGACAGAGAGATTCCTGGAGGGTTCAAGAAAGTCTTTGTAGAGTAAGAGATGCCAAAGCTGATCCATAAGGGTGGACAGATGTCACACTGTGGGTCTATAAACCCTGGGGTCATTCCTAACTCTTTATTATTTCATACTTCATCAAAATTCTATGGACTCTACCTTCAAAATATATATGGAATCTGTTATTTCTCCTTACCTCCATTATGACCATTCTTGTCCAAGTCTCCATCATCTCCCACCTGGATAATTGTAATTGTCTCTTAATTAGTCTCTCAGCTTTTGAGCTTGTCCTGATAGCTAGGATGGTCCAATTACAACTTAAGTCATGCCACTCCTCTGGCTTCTCATTTCATTCCATACAGTACTCTACAAGGCTCAGATGACCTGGCCCTCCATTAATTCTCTCACCTGATCTACTACTACTTCCCTCTAACCCCTATCCACTCTGTTTAAACCTTATTCTGCCTCTTAATAGCCTCCAAACATACCAGGCACACTCTTGGAGTCCCCTCAGATATCTGCATCACTCACCCTCACCCCCTCAGGATACTTATTCAAATGGCATCTTCTCAGTGAGGCTCTGACCACCCTATTTAAAATTGCAAATCTACCTCCCCCAACCAAGATTCTCTAATATCCCCTCTGTGTCATCTTTATAACTCTTAACACCAACTGATGCCAAAGATATGTTACTTGTTTATAGTCATTCTTTCTTCAGTTAACACAAGCTGCATACAAGGAGGGATTCTTGTCCCTTTATTTTATTTTTGCACAGTACCTAGAACAGCAGCTGGCACACGGTAGGTTCTCATTAATTGGGGTGGCTGGGAAATGACACTGGGGCAGGAGAATGGTATAAACAAAACCACAAAAGTAAGACAACACCAGGTGTGATGGAGAAGGTGCAGCGAGGAGGCTCACCTGCCAGGAGTGGGAGTTTTGCCTTGGAGGAAAATGGAAATTGAGGTGGAAAAGTTGAGGATAAAGCTGCTTTGTCTTCCATGCTCTGGAGATGCTCCTCTCATCCAGCACTTTCTACTGCAGCCATGGGGAGCTGACATTCTTCTCTTACTGTCTTTTAAAAACATTAGCCTCTTTTTAGAAGGAACTGTTTTCATCTGTCTGAAGTAATGGATGGATTTTATTATGATTTGGAGCATTCTGTGAACACAAATAAAAATAAAGGCTGCCCTAAGCAACAATTTAGCCACTTCTTTCTTGGCAGGAAATTCAAAGATGGCTTTAATTCTCACAAGCAGTTGATCATAAAGTGGACACAACCCTTTCACATAAGTTTCTTCTTGAAATTCAGCATGCTCTAAAGAGAGCTACTTTGGGAAACAGAAATGTCTTTGGTCTTTGATACAAAGTATGTGGGATGGGTAGAAACAAAGGCTATGGGAAGCTGAGGGAAAGTTTTCAATCACAGACTTTCAAGCATTGGGTGGTTCCTCCTTAAGGTTAGAGTGAAGATGCCTCCTAAACCCTGTCATTTCCCTGAACAGATTCACCCAAGCTGCAAGAGAAAAGCAGGATTTAGAAGACCAAGTAAGTATGTATACATGTGCTTGTGTGTATTTACTAACAGCCAATAAAAATACATCAACAATTAGTTATGTAAATCAGGAGCTCTAGACTGACAAGGAAACTGCTGCTTTCAGGATCTCATGAAAGCAAACTCTCTTCCTAAGTATCTGGCTTCAAGCTCTTTGATTGGCAGAGAAGAAAGCAAAGTGGTAGGTTCAAGAGGGTGAGAGACGACATAGAAGCTAATCTTTGCTTGCATTCTTGATCTCTCATGTACTAAATAGATGCCTTAGGACAATTCAGAAGAAATCTCTGAGCCTCAGTTTCCCTTAGAAGTATAAAGAGAGTAAAATCTTCTATCTCATAAAACTACTATGAGGTTCACAGGATGCAATGTTCATGGAAGTGCTTTGCAACATGCTGTGTCAGTTAGCTATTGCTGAAAAAAATATGGCTGCATAACAAACCACCTTCAAAACTCTGCAGCTTAAGACAATAGCCTATATTCACTGATCTATGGGTTGGGTTGATCCAGGCTGAGCCTGACTGGATTTGGCAGGCAGCTCACATGATCTCAGCTGGATTCATTCACATGTCTGATGGTCAGAATGGGATCAACTGACCTAGGTAGGGCTCAATAGGACAAATCAGCTCTAGTCCACATGTCACTCATCCTCCTTCTGGAATCAGTAGGCTAGCCCAGAGATCTTTGTCCACTGATAAATGAAAAGTATAAGAGAGCAAACTCAGTCACTCAAGAGCTTCTCAGTCCTTTGCTCACATCATGCCATGCTAGCATCCCACTGGCCAAAATAAGTCACACTGGGGAATCTGCAGTGAATGAAACTGAAATGTTCTATGGTAAAGGACATGGATGTAGGAAGGCGTTAAGAGTTAGAGTTGTTAATGCAATCTACCATAAGTACTTTAAAAATGCAAGACATATTGCCAATGCTCTCCAGAGAGTTGTAGAATAAGAAGAAATATTTTTGGCTTATCAATGCTGGATTCCTCCAGACTACAGTGGATCATTCTCTTCTGTCATCAGCCCCCACCCTCCAATCAGTCACATCCAGGAAACTTATTCACTATCAGCCTCAAAGAAGGCAGGATACCCAGGATACTATACCGGTGGAGAGCACAGGTTTGTGGTCAGATGGATCGGCATTTGAGACCCTACTCTATTACTGACTTACGATATAATCTTGGATGAGGTATTCAACTGCTTTAAATCTTAGTTTTCTTATCTCCCTTGGTGAGCCAGGCTCATGGCTTTAAACACTATCCATGTCAATACCCTGGACAGATTCACCTAAGCTGTAAGAGAAAAAGCAGGATTTAGAAAATCCAGTAAATGTGTGTGTACACGTGCTTGTGTATATTTATCAGCAGCCAATAAAATACACCAACAATTAGTTATGTAAATCAGGAGTGCTAGATTGACAAGGAAACTGCTACTTTCAGGATCTCATGAAAGCAAACTGTCTTCCTTAATGTATGGCTTCAAGCTCTTTGATTGGCAGAGAAGAAAGCAAAGTGGTAGATTCAAGAGGGTGAGAGATGACATAGAAGCTAATCTTTGCTTGCATTCTTGATCTCCCATGTACTAAACACATGCCTTAGGGCAACTTGGGAGAACTCTCTGCCTCAGTTTCCCTTAGAAGTATAAAAAGAGTATGTGTGTATATATGTGCTTGTGTGTATTTACCAACAGCCAAAAAGTACATCAACAATTATTTACGTAAATCAGGACCTCTAGATTGACAAGGAACTATCCATATGTTGGGGATGCTAAAATTTATATTTCTAATGAGAACCTGTTCCTGAACTTCGTATTTGCACATTCCCCACTCCATGTCTACACCTGGATAACTCACCAGTATCTAAAAGTGAATATATCTAGAATGGAGCTCCTAATCATTTCCCTTAAATCTGCTCGTCTATCCTATTACTGATCTTGCTAACTGGCACCTCCATTCTTCCAATGGATTAGACTTACAGCCTTATTATCATCCTTGTCTTATACCCTATATCCAATCTGCCAGGAAATCCTTTTGATTCTACCTTTAAAATATACCCTAAACCCAGCCTCTGTTCACCAATCCACTGCTAGGACCCCAGACTAAGCCACAATCATCTCTTATGCAGATAATTTCATTCATTTCCTGACTCTCTGCACAGCCTGCCATAGTCAAGTCACTAGCCAGAGTGAGTCAGATCATGTCTCCTTTCTGCTCAAACCCTCCAACATCTTCCCATCTCACCCACTGTAAAAGCCAGCTTCTTTACGGTGGCATCCAAGGCCTTTATGATGTTGCCTCCCTGAACTGTGCTTTCTACTCTTTCCACTATAGCCATATGATGGCCTCCTTGCTGTTCTCCAGAGCTTTGCATTTTCAACTTTCTCTGTAGTCCTCTTTCCTCAAATACTCTGACGGCCCATTCCTTTACCTCCTCTAGGTCTTTACTCAAAGTTCACCTTCTCTCTGAGGCTTTCCAACCACCCTGTCCTCCTTCTCTGCCATATGTTTTCTCTTATACCTAATCATCTAACATGCTGTCTATTTTACATATTTATTTTGCTTATTAGCTTTCTCAGCTGCCAAGTTATAAAATCCAGATAAGTGGAATGTTGTCCATAATATACATTTTTGTATTCTCCAGGCCTAGAATGTTGCCAGGCACATAGTAGCTGCTCAATGCATATTTGCTGAATGAATAAATGAAGGGAACAGAAATATTGTACAGATTAAATGAGATAATACATGCAAAAATTTAGCATAGTGTCTGATGCATAGTAAGTGTTCAAAAAATGATAGCTCAAAATACACAGCAAGTAAAATCTAAAGCCCTGGTATTCTGAGTCTTAGCTCTGACTCTATACACTATGATTTTATTAATTTTCTCTGATACAACTTTTCACTAGGGCTCAAATTAGCTTTCTCTCCCCAGTACCTATGTATTAGTTCATTTTCACACGGCTATAAATAACTACCTGAAACTGGGTAACTTATAAAGGAAAGAGGTTTATCAACTCACAGTACAACATGGCTGGGGAGGCCTCAGGAAACTTACGATTATGGCAGAAGGTGAAGGGGAAGCAAGGCACCATCTTCAAAGGTGGAAGCAAGGGGAATGAACACAGAAGGAACTACCAAACACTTATGAAACCATCAGATCTCATGAGAACTCACTCACTATCAAGAGAACAGCATGGGGAAACCACCCCCATGAGCCAATTACCTCCACGTGGTCTCTCCCTTGACACTTGGGGATCATGGGGATTATAACTCAAGATGAGATTTGGATGGGGGCAGAAAGCCTAGCCATATCAACCTGGCACACAAAAGATACTGTGTTTTTATTCAAAGTGACAGTAAATAAATCTGAATTTGCAGATGACTGGTCAAGTTGTTCCCTCTGGTGTTGATCAGGGTCTAAAGGAAGTTGCTGCTCTGGAGAGTATGTGAGTTCGTGAGATTACACTGGGCTGACACCAGGTCAGCTACAGCATTTAAAACCTAGTGAGTACCATGGACATTGGACTGCTAGTTTGGTATACTAACAGTCTGCCCTACAAGTTCTCTCTCTCCAGTCTTTAGGTTTCCTCACAAACTCTATTTCCTATGAGAGTGAAGATCTATTTATATTTCCTGCCATCCCAAGAATAATAATAAAACCACCACAGAAAAAATTGTCTATAGAGAACATTTTTTTCTTAAACTCACAAAGTAGGCAAGCGTGATTCATTCTCCCAATAAGAGAGAGGCAAATGGATGTTTCTGGAGTTGTTTAGATTCCAGCTTAATTCTCTGCCACTTCACTTACCAGAAAAAAAGAAGGATGGTGCATCTATGAATGACATCTCTCCTCTCAATGATGCAGAAAAGAGCCAACAGAGATGACCCCAATACTATATCCCCAAATCTGAATTCTTATAAACCCAACTGTTTGGGGCATGCTTTCATTTCTTACACAGCCTCTACCCCTAACTTGTCTGGGCCATGGCATACATTCAACATGATATGCATTTATGGACCATCTATTATGTGCTTTGCACTGGGCCTCAGGGTACAGAGTCCAGACATGATCATAATGGAAGCTCAATAAATAATAAACATGAAACGAACCAATAAATGTTTCAAGGTGATATATGATTAAACATCCAGTAATGTCCTGTGGACAATATGTGCTGTTACAGTTTATTAGCTATAGACTCTATAGAAAAAATCACCAAGGAAGGCTTCATGGAAGAGGTAGTACTTGAGTTAGAGGCTTAAGAAAGAAAGTAGTTAAATAGATAAGGAGTTTAAGAAAGAGAATCAGCATAAACACATAGTTAGAAGTGAGCAAGGCTTATGAGTTTAGGGCCCAAATTTTCCATGCACTTTATACAAAAATGTATCATTGATAAAAGGCCAAACAGAAAATCTAGGTACTACACTAGTAATAGCTCAAATGTACATGTTATTGGTAGTAAAAAAAAAAAAAGTTATAAAAGATAGTTGGGCCAACATACTTTTTCAAAAGGTACAAAACAAAACTATTTTTTTTCCAAGTTGAAGGATCTTCCTGGGTTTTCTAATCACTATTTTCTGATATTTTATTCCTAGTCATGACTGATGGTACCTGGTCACTACAGGTTCATTCTCAACAAGGGAGCCAACAGCTTTCCTTCCTTTACCTGCCATCATAACCCCAGATCACAGAGATTATTTTTTTCCCTAATCTCTGAGGATCATATGGACTTCTTGCTTCATCTACTAAAGCCCAAAGCAGATTTACATTACTGCTCTTCCTGGAGGTCCCTGCAGCCAAACAACTACTCATCACATGTTCCCCATCCTCAAGGCCAATAACTTCTACTTCTTCCTCTACCACTGCTTGTCCCGAGCAGGGGCAGAAAGAGGCTTAAGGCTCAGCCCCCTTAAGCTTCACCATTTATGACAGACTAGAACATGCTTGATCTTTTCCAAAGGCTGAGAAATTTACAAACAAGGTCCTGGACATGCTATGATATAAAAATTTGGAGGATTTCTCAAAGAACTAAAAATAGAATTACCATTCAACCTAGAAATCCCACTACTAGGTATATACCCAAAGGAAGATAAAGCATTCTATCAAAAAGACACCTAAACTCACACGTTAATTACAGCACTATTCACAATAGCAAAGGCTTGGAATCAACCTAAATGCCCATCGGTTATGGATGGGATCAAGAAAATGTGGTATATACACACCATGAAATACTACACAGCCATAAAAAGAATGAAATTATGTCCTTTGCAACAACATGGATACAGCTGGGGGCCATTATCCTAAACAAATTAAACCAGAAACAGAAAGCCAAATACTGCGTTTTCTCACTTATAAGTGGGAGCTTAAAATTGGGTACACATGGACATAAAGATGGAAACAATAGACACCAGGTATTCCAAAAGAGAGGACGGGGGAAGGGGGACAAGGACTGAAAAACTACTTATCAGGTACTATGTTCACTATTTGGGTGATGGGTTTGATAAAAGCTCAAGCCCAGCATCACACAAAATATTCATGTAACAAACCTACACATGTACCCCTTGAATCTAAATTTTTTTAAAAAAATAGGTAACCATCAAAGATGAAAAAAGAATTATTTTAACAATCAATTTTCTTAGGACAAGTCTTTCACCTGTTACGTGTGGCAGAGAAATATCACTTTTATTTTCCTGAGGACAGAGGAAAGCTAAATTTTTCAGCCTCTCTTGCAATTAGGTCAGAGGCCATGCAACTAAGTTTTGACCAATGAAAGGTAGATGGAAGAGACATGAGCCCCTTCTAGTCCTGGCCCTTAAAAGCATCATGCCAGTATCTTCCAGCCCTTTCTTCTCTTTCCTTTGAAACCACGCATCTCAACTGGCATAACTACAAGATGGAAGAATGTCAGATCCCTGAGTCACCTCCTAAAGGACAGCCACCTAGTCCATGTTAGACTATGACATGGGCAATGAATAAAACTTTGTCATGTAAAGCCACAAATAATTCAGGGTTTGTTTGTTAATTTAGCATAGTATAATCTAACCTCATCAGAGTGTATCCTCTACACTCTGGGGAAAGAATGGCAAATTGTAGGCAGATTATTGTTTTCATTAATAATAATTGTTATTAAGCAGGTTCTCTATGCCAGGCACTGTGCTTGACACTAAGCATAATAATATAGATCCTCAGCAAGGATATTTTGATATCCTTGGTATTTTACATCCATTTTACAAATGGGAGAGGCAAGACTCAGAGGTTTTGTTGTTGTTGTTGTTGTTGTTGTTGTTGTTGTTTATTTAAAATAAAAAAGCTTTTCCAAAGTCAAGCAATTCGTGATAATTTTTCCAATGCCAGAGTTTGTTATTTCAATGACTTTATATCTTTTTTCTCACAGTTAAATATCCCCTCTTCCCATTTTTGGCAAGAAGAGATGACCCCAATTACATTCATTTTTCTTCATTAAAAGCCTGCTATTATTTCTACCAAATTCAGAGTTTTCTGCATACTGCCTCATTACTTGTTCTACAGAGTCATTGAACACAATAGAGATTCCAGCACATTTTGTACTGTTAATCATTATGGAAGCCTAGTGGGTATCATCCATCACTCTTAGACCTTGTTCTGAATGTGAGAGCCTGTCTACAAATTTATCTGTTATCCAATTGAAATGAAGGTGCCATAGGAAAAGTCACCCAGGTGTTTTGGTCCATGTCATCACAGTCACTAAAAATGCTAATTATACCCAAACCAATCTAGATAAAATAAATCCAGTCCACAATATGTATCAAGCACTCTCTATGTACAGGACACTGTACAAGCAAAAGGGTTTGATAGTTTACATTTGAGCTCTGGGTCCTCATGAGCCCCATCAAATAGCTAAAAATGTGAAATAGCTAAAATGGTTATAATTATCCCCACTTGCCTATGGTAAAATTGAGGCACAATGACTTGGCCAAGCTCTCATAGTGGTAGAATTGAGAATGGAGCTATATTCCCCAAATCCTCATGCTGAGCAATCTGTACATTTCTTACAAAAGAGCACTTGGTATTGGATATAATTGATAGCATCCTATCCCATCCAAATCATGCAGATCAGTAG
Organism: Homo sapiens; assembly: GCF_000001405.40. Lineage (NCBI taxonomy): Eukaryota > Metazoa > Chordata > Mammalia > Primates > Hominidae > Homo > Homo sapiens. Next base: position 177,584,434 of record NC_000001.11, read on the forward strand.
CAGCAATTCTTTATGAGAAACTAGTACATGTAGGACAAGTTTTTAATATGTTTCAACGTTCTATCTACCTCACCTTCTCCTTTCTCACTTATAAGTCCACTGAATCACATAGAGCTGATCCACTCTGCCTCTTCTCCTGACCTTTTTTCCACCAGTGAACACATTATTCACATTGAAACTTTGCCATTTTATGTGCTCCCATAAGCTATGTATATAAAAACTACAATATATTGTGTCTCCATTTAAAGTAGAGTATTCTAGACTCATTTTTAGGAAGTAAGCTTCAATTTTCTATAATTAATTACTTCTGGTGATATTTCCATAGTGAGCCCCTTGAGGACCGTGAAAAAAAGGTCCAGGCCAGTTATGAACAAGGTAAACGGAGAGGTCATTTGCCAAATAACTTATTTGGAAACTGTAATTGGTGTTTCCAACAGAATCCCAATGGGAAATGTAATTCACCCAAATGGCTCAAGTGAAGAGACCTAGATGGAATTACCTACCAAGGGATGGGCGAGGAAGCTGAGGCACTAAGAAACTGGCAACTGATGAAAGCCACTACACTTCCAAGGCAGAAAGGCAAAGGACAAGTGCAGGAATTAGTGTTATCAGAACCCAGTGAAGGCTATAATCAACATCAGGTGTGGTGGCTGCCAGAAACACCACACCAAAGCAGGGTGAGAGCAAGAAAGAAATGCCATAATCTTTCTCTTCTCCCAACCTCTGATTTCTTGCTGGTGCCTCCCACTGGCCAAACCCAATCGGGGGCCAGTAGGCAAAGGAATCCAGGTGATGCAGTCCACACTGGACAGCCTCCCAAGTACAGAGCAAGGCAGGAGAGCAAAGAATGGATCTGAGGCCAGAGTAGATGTCCATGGAGGTTGGTATAAACAGGGAATAACCAGGACATCTAGTTATTCACATGCCATTCTATCTGCAAGAGTGGGAGATGCTTATTATAATAGTGAAACCCCTTTTCAACATTCCACCATCTGACACACACATAAAATACTGGTGTAAAAATGGCTCTGGCCTGAATACACATCAGTGTTTTTTAATGTGTTAGTAAATACAGTCGTTAGCTGTTCCAAGAGAGAATTGTGCATCATCAACTGACATAAAAGGGAGTGTAATGTCATCTTCAATTGCTGTTAGAAGAAATAGGATGAAATTATGAGCAATTAGGAAAAGAAATATTGTGTCTCTATGGCAGCTCAGGTTTTACTGAAAATCCTGTTGGACTGGTTATGTGAGCTGAAGCAGCCACATAAACGTTTGAGGCCCACGCCCAGGCAAAGGAAAGAGTTATGACCTGAGAGTATGTTTCCATGGTAAAGCTTCAGGGAATTTAATGCCCTGAGGTAGCTTGAAGCACTTCAATGGCACAAGGTCAATGAAGAAACCTGTTCCAAACATGAGGAGTGTTTACAAGCCTTCTGTAAATGTGATTTAGAAAACTCTTATCTAGAAGATGCCAATATTTAAGATAACAAATGACTGCTGAGAAAAAGCAAGAGCAGGCCCCTCAAGGGACTCTTGTGCTAAGAAAATACAGATCTGAATCTAAGGGAAGGGGAATTTGGGCTGTGGCTTAGTTCTAAACAAACAGTATCTGTCTTCAGAAGAGGATTTTCAATTTTGGGTTGGCCATATATGGTAACTCTGTAATACCAATCAATTAACTTTCTCCTTGAAAAAGGGTCACAGCCCTTCTAATACCCATTTGTTCTGAAATTGGGGAAGGCCTGGTATTGACCTCTGAAATATTGTTGAAACAGAGCTTGAGCTCTTTGAACTATGAAATCAAATACAATCTCTCCACCCTGGCATTCAAGGCCTTAATCTGTCTTCTCGAGTTTACCTTCCAGTGTTCCCCTACAAACTATCTGAACTTAATCCCCTCTGTCACTTTGATTTTATTTTTTTCTATCACTAATCTCTGTTATCTCTGCTGATCAAAAATCTGTTCATTCTTCAAGACCACCTTCTCTATGAAGCATTTCCTGACTTTTGCAAACAACTAATTCTTTCATCTTTTATACGTTTGTAGCATTTGTTAATGTACTTGGTACTTACTTTATTCTACCTCCTATTATAGTCATTTGCACTCTTGCTGACTGTTCTCTAAAATGTTGGAAATTCCTTGGAGAGAGGGTTCATGCCTCATAATGACTCATGTACTAGAGGCTTGGCCAGAGTGTTGAACTGAATTGATCTGAATGGTATTAGTGAGGAAGAAGGAATGAATCAGAGATTCCCTTTAAAGTTCATGAAAACAATCTCAAGATGTTCTATCCCACTGAGTCAGAGATAAAATGGATCTTTTCAATATTACCAGAAAAGATGCTTTAGACAAAGGGAACTCAATACTCTAAACTGCCTTATCAGTCTATGAGACAGTTAACTCCAGGAAGGCATTTTACAAGCCTTAATACTCTCCAAAAGTGCCTTCACTCATACCCACAGTGCACAATTCTTACATGCTGATAATTTCTAAATATAAATTTCTAGATAGCACTTCTCTCTGAAAATCCAGTCCCATATTACAACTTGTCTCCTAAATACATCCATCCTGATGTCCCAGAGGCATCTCAAATTCAACATAATGCATTTGAAATTCATGATATCCTCATCCCATTTTTCCGTTGCTCCCATCCTCACAATTCCTCTTCATTCCAAATTTCCCATCTCAGTTAATACATCTTCATCAATTTGGTTGCATCTATCCAGATGTCATCCTGCACTGTGCTATGCAAGCACCTGGGAGGCTGCAGTGAAACAGTAGGCCCTGCCCGTGTCCCCGTGGACACCTGCCTCCACCTTCTCCCCTCCTTTCCATGCAGGCCTGATACTGTCGTTTGCTCCACTTAATACATTATCTGGTTCCCATCATTTAAAAATCAATTTCAAGTCCTTTAGCATGACACCAAAGGCCCGTCATAACCTGGCCCCAATTCCCTTCCAGCCACACAGTTCCCATGAGTTATATTCTTTTTTTTTTTTTTTTTTTTCCCGAGACTGAGTCTTGCTGTGTCACCCAGGCTGGAGTACAGTGGTATGATCTTGGCTCACTGCAACCTCCACCTCCCGGATTCAAACAATTGTCCTGCCTCAGCCCCCCGAGTACCTGGGATTACAGGCACACACCACCACACCCAGCTAATTTTTGTATTTTTGGTAGAGATGGGGTTTCATCATGTTGGCCAGGCTGGTCTTGAACTCCTGACCTTGTGATCTGCCCGCCTCAGCCTCCCAAAGTGCTGGGATTACAGGCGTGAGCCACTGTGCCCAGCCCCCACAAGTCATATTCTTACAGTATTCTGCATTCTGTCTACAATATTCTCCCTCTCTTCAACCTTCTCCCCAAAATAAATTCTTACACATTGCAGAGACATAGTTTAAATATAACCTCATCTGCACAGCCTTTTTTCAATCCCTTTTCTCCATATCTATCAAAGGAAGTCTTAGACATTGTCTTCTCTATTTGCATGGCTTATTCATTCACTCTCATTTGGGGACAGTGTCTAAGTGTCACGGACCATGCCAGGGAAAAGAAAAAGAGGGATGACTAACAGACTTGATCCTTGGATGCAACTTTGTAATATAATAACATTTAACACATGTCTATCTCCCCCGATCCCTCCCATCACTGATTATGATCAATAAGACAAGTTTATGTCTTGGTTATTCCTAGATCTTCAGCAGCTATTTATTGTGGTCTAGTCATTTCTTTGTGCCCTTGCCCTATGGTACCTAAAACTTACTTTGGTATTCAGTGGTTATGCAATAAGTACTCACTCAACAAAGCAAGTAGCTTGTTCATTGTGTAATTAATTCCCTAACGTCTCAGACAGAAGATAACTTGGCTTTACACAGATTATCTCTTCCTTGCATTTAATAGCAAGACAATTCTATTGTGTTGTCTTCTTGGTACCAAGCAGAGAAAACTGGTTGAGATAAAATTCACTTAGATGCTCTGTCTGTAGGATAATGCCCCACTTTCCTCATTTCTTCATGAGAGTGAGGCTTAGCACCCCTAACCTGAGTCTCAGTAAGAGGAGGAAGAGGCAGCGGAAATGGAATTGAAAAAAATATGATGCCAGAGATTACAGGTTGCAGAAAATGAGAAAAACACAGAAGCCTCAATGTCCTAGAGGCTAGCTCCATGAATCAATGGATTAGGAACCGAAATTAGAATCAAAATACCTGTACTCAAGTTCTAATTTTCTGTTCTCTAATTGGATTAGTCAAGTCACCTAAATTTCCTGGGCCTCTGTTTTCTTCATCTGTAAAATAGACATAATGATAGCTATCTTATAGTATTATTGTGGGGATCAAATTAGATTTTGAATGTGAAGTATAGTGTGATAATTTAAAAATGGGCTTTGGAGTCTACTAAATATGAGTATGCTTATTAATTGTGCGACTGTAGACAGCCTAAAACTCCTCGAGTCATAGTTTGCTTGAAAAATGGGCATTATAAAGGAATGATACATGGTATAAAATAATGTATACAAAGTGTTGAGCACAGTACTTGATACAAAGCAGGCACACAACAAATAGTAATTATTTTATAATGATTAATAAAATATAAAATTCCATACAACTGCAAGGAGTATATCCTTGGGACTGATGGAGAAAGAGGTATCAACACCAGGTGCTCTGCTCATTAAGTAAACCATCATTGAGGAAAAATATAAGCATATCCAGAAAATAAAGCTAAAAGCCTGTCATTAAAACTCAGAAGTAATTGATAAGTGTTTCATGAAGAAAATATTTACAAGAGGCAGGATTAAAGAATGGATGGACTAGGAAACAGAAAGGGCCAACCTGCTACAAAAAGTACAAACAAATAACATTGGGTGAGCCAGGTGATAAAGCCAGAGAACAAACAACGCCAGGTTTACATGCAGGTAAGGTTACTGCCAGTACAGGCACAAGCCCTTAAGGGAGCTAAGCCGAGCTACTGGGAGGACATCCAGGCAGAAGGAACAATATGAACAAAGCTGCTGTAGCATCAAAGCATCAAAGCACTGAGCATGGACCAAGGGAAGATGGATAATCACCTTCCCCAGGGGTGAGCCTGAGTTTGACGTTTCTCTGGCCTGTCATAATCAGAAGTAAAGTACAGGGAGACTCAGCAAGCCAGGATCTGATCTTTCAGTTCTCCTTGAGAGCAAAGCAAAGGAAGAACTGAAAGCATGTATGGGCTTTTATCACCAAATTCCATCACAGAACAGAGGTCTTAGAAGGACAGGATGTACCACCTCCCTTTGCTGATGGTAAAAACAAGGCAAGTCACAGAGCAAATTCCAGCACACTGCAGGGTCTCAGGGTGCAGATGGACCACCTGTGCACCAATGCTAGATATTGCTGTCAGCCAAAACCACCTGCAGAGGCCTGCATTTGCTGATTCACCATCTCAGGTGCTCAGCACACACATCCTCAGGGTAACCAAACTCCTGTCAGCAGATGTGCACTGTGCTCAGTGCAGTTCTGCTCAATGTCCTGCTCAAAAAGGAAGGCTGACACCTTGACATATGGGAGGCAGGCAAAACAAACAAAATAAACAACAACAAAAAAAAAGGAAGGTGGAGGAAACCATCCCTAGCCTCCAGCCAGTAAGCCCCAGAAAGCTCTCTAGAAAAGTCTGGGCTGGGAGTCCCTCTCTGCATTTTCTAACACAGGGAAAGAGATGTGGAGCATCATTATCATTCCTTTTCTGGCTCCAAGTGCTCAACAACTTTTTCCATATCCCCGTGGCCTCCATCCCAGAGGAAGCATCCCTGGTAGCCATCATACCAAAAGCCCTAATGCTGGGGGAAGAAACTTCATTCCTACCCATTAAATCTTGGGCCTAATGAATTTCCCATTGATCTTACTTCAACTCGGGCATAAAACCCAGGGCTCTGCGCAATACAGTCACTTCTTAAAATATCCTTATAAATCATGGCCAGCATATCCATTAATTACAGCCCAGCCAGGACTCTGGCTGTTAGTTCTGGGTGGCAACTTCATTTATCCCCACACTAAATGCTTTATTTCCATGGAGCTATTTCAGTCTTAGTCCATTACTTAGCCTACCCACCATTAAACCTCTTCAGCCATGTCATCCAAGCAGTTTTTTAAAAGGAGGTCCCCCTACCACATTATTTTAAATTTTTAGATAAAATATCCGACTTATTCTAAAACTTTGTAGTAAACAGGGCAACGAAATAATAACAGGTAAACATTTAGTGAATTTTACCATGTCCCAAATGCTATATTAACTACTTTGAATATATTAGCCCATTTAATCCACAAAACAATTCTGTAAAACAAATATTATTATTATTGTCCTAATTTTATAAATTGAGGATTGGAAAGATTAAGTAACTGGCTTAAAGTTAAGTAGGTAGGGTCATCACTGAAATACAGGTTTATCTGACTCCAAAGCTCAGAGTTTTATTGGCAGAGTTGTAGTGAGGAATTCCAAAATTATAATTGCATACCTTATTAAGCTGTTATATGAAGATATGCACTGAAAAACAAATATAGAATTTTGGGATTAAGGAGACCTTTAAAATGATTTAATTCAATTTCCATATTTAGCAGATGAGCCCAGGTCCTTTAGGGATGAGGCAAGGTGCCCGGGGTCACGAAACTCATAGAGGCAGAGCCAAGCCTCGGACCCAGGCCTCCTCACTTCTAGCCACATGCTCCCTCTGCTGTGGTCTGCTGCTGTCCAAATGCTCTATTACACTGGAATTTGTTTTCCTCTGGGTACAGATGAGAGAAGAAGGATCTGTAGAGTGGCGTTAAGTGAATTGAATGTTCCTTCTGCAAATGAAAATGAGCGGCTAATCGGATTCCGTAATCACTCTCTCCGATTAGAGTCACCCTCCCTCCCCCGCTGACTTCCGCACCTCTGACGTCCCTCAGTGATGACCTGCAGCATCCCCTGCTTAGTCGAAATTTGTCTCCTTACACATCTGTTCTGATCACTAAACCCGATTTACTTCATCCTCTAAGTGCCAGCAACAATGGCAGGCCACATAGGGGTGGGGGCCTGAGATCATGCTTGTTCTAACTGCCGAAAGCTGCAGGCTCTTACTGTTTCAGGGTAAAGTTGTGGCTCTGCAGAGGGCACAACTCAAAATCTCACAGAGGTCAGGCATGGAACTGAAATAAGGAAGTCGGTAGGTATTATTAGAAACCAGTATCTGGAGTGAAGGCAGAGCCATGGTGATGAACCACAGGGACCGCAGGCCTCCTAAAAGAGCAGCCGCTCCTCATCTCCAGCCAGTGGTTGCTGTGGATTCTCTGAGAAAATAAAATCCACAAGGGTGGGACTTCATCTCATTCCCTGCTGCATTTCCAGTGCATGAAGGGGACCTGGGGCATCGTGGGCACTCAATGCATATTTCCTCAGTGACTGAGCCTTCCACTTTGAAAACTCTACACTGCATTCTGTACTCAGTGTCCAGGCAGGAACAGCCCCTGACCTATTATGATAGGAAAGCAGTATACTTGATTGCTCTAGAATCAGGGGAACCATGTAGGGAGGTTAATTTCAACCACAGGATATGTAAAGCCATACTGAGAGCCACATTCAAGAAAACGGGAGTGAAGGAGGGTGGCGCATGCTCATCACCTTTATCACCAGTAACAGCAATGCCAGCAGGGCACACTGCAAGCTTAGCAAGTGCCATGCAGTGGCAGAAAGAGCTCTGGGTGGGCAGATCTGACTTCAGGCACTGAGAAGTCATGAGACTTAAAGCAGATCTGGCCTCTCTCTGACACAGGTTCCCTGTCTTTAGAAGGAAGGGATTGGACCCACAGCCTGTAAGTTCTTTTCAGCTGTAATAGGCTTTGACACATGTTTTGTGACAGGAACACACCCAGGACTCTCCAGAGTCATTAATAAACAATGAAACAACCACCCACCTTGCCCGGCTGCTGTTTGAGAGACCATGAAGCTCAGCAGGCAAGTGAAAGCATAAAAATCTGGAGCTCCAAAGTCTAATGCTACTATGGATGTTATTCCCATAGCTTGATTTCCCCAGCTTTAAGATCAGAGTAGCAATAGCAATCTAGACCTGTTGAGGCATCATAAAAAGATTTAAATGCATACGCATGTCTGAAATGATAGATTTGATATGTGGGTATGCATATAAACCTAGCCAGCTAATTGTCATTTGTGGATTTAACTCCTCATCCACCCATTCACGCTTGTACTTTTTTTATTCCATCCTCACCAACACAGGCACTATTTACAGTACATGTTGTCCCTAAGGAAGAGACCCAGTTCTGTCCTCTTCTCTTATTCTGTTCCACAGGCAGTTTCTATACACATGTGTGTGCGTGCATGCATGCAGGTGTGATTGTAAGTCACTTTGTAAAATGTCAAGTGTAATCTAGCCACTCATTAATAACACCTAGCTCTGCATTTCTGGGTAAGTAACTAATTGCCGCTTTTCTTGTGTCATCTTCTCCTGCCTGTGTTGTCACTTTGGTACTTCAAGGGATCAAAATGTGGAAACTTTCAGTTCTTTAAAAATCTTATCTTCAAAGGAAAAATTCTGCGACTGACTTGAATTGACATAATTGGCTCCATATCATTATTTTTCCCTACACACGTTTTAAATTTAAAAATGCAATTTGTTTTTGTTTTTTTATTTCTGGCATCACACAAAATAATTCGTTATAATTGGGAATAAATTGCTTCTAGGAATGAATAAAGCATCCAATTGTGTTTAAAAGAAATGTGTCATTAATGTCAAGACATCCAAGAATAACTTATTTATTTGCATTCAGTCCAGAAACCAGGGCTGAGATCTATTTGGAATGGGGCTTTCAAGGAGGAAAGATGATGCATAGGTCAGGGATCTAAAGGCTCAGGTTCCAGGACTCATGCAGCAACATGAGACCTGGCTAAAATGAAATCCAATGTCTAGGTTTTTATTTTCTCTATTAAAAGGTAGGCGAAACCAGAACCCTATCAACGGAAGTAATTTATGACACAGAAAACTCTAGAAATATTTGAATGAGCCCAGAACACCTTCTTCCTGGAAAGCAGGAATATTATAGCCATAGGTATTGAAACAGATGCACAATGGATCAAAGCACAAGTGAGTGAAATTGTCTACATTATGCATACTTTAGGAGAAAAACATTCTGGGAGTTGAACCTGAGGCTATCGGGCCTAAGAATGAGGACATATGAGAAGAGATAGGGCTGAGAGACAGACAACCCAGGCATCCACAGGTGATGTTGTGAGTGAAATATCAATATTTCCTCCTGTGCCTCTGTACTCCATAAATCCCTAGCTAATAAGGTGCCTATGACAGAGGTGCTCTTTAATAACTACTAGGGTGTAATAATTGATGGCATAGCCAGCTGGTTGCTATGATCAGATATAAATTAAATCATCTTTATTGTTTTATGTTTCCTCCAACTCCCTGCCCCCCACCCAGTCCAACTACCTTTTCAGCCTCTCTTAACCAATCCTGAGAGAAGAATTTTTCTGCATCACTTATCAAATGACAAGAGCTGGAGGGAAAGAGAGAGGAAAGATGATGAGAAACAAGTCCTAAATGATTCTTGGTTCCTTGGGCCAAAGATCAGTCTCTTCTTTAAAAAAAAAAAAAAAAAAAAAAAAAAAAGCTGGGCAATTACTTCATTCCTGTACTTTCCTGCACCACAGATCTACCAATGGCTAAGCATTTTTCATTTAAGAAGCATGGTTTGAGGGCTTCTGATGGGCCAGGCCCTGTGCTGGACAAGATACACGATGACTAAGACAAGTCATTCTTCTTGAGGTCATTGCCTCAAGAAGTTCACAGTCAGGGTGGAGGTGGGAAAGGCAGACAGACACACACAGGCTTGGATGAGGGGTAATAATTGCCACTGTGGAGATATTAATGGAGAACAAATGGGGGTGAGATAAATGCAATCCCAGTGGGGAAAAACCAGGGCAGTTCTGTAGAAGCAAATGGAAAAAAAAGCTTCTTTTTAAAGGTAAGAAGCACCCTAAATCCCTTTTTCTTCTGAAAACAAGGACAGTGTCAAAGAAGATCCGAACTAACTGATTAGGATAAAATGAGGCAGACAAGGCCTGTCCTTAAATACTTCCTCTGCCTCTAACACTCTCTCTGCCCTGAGTCAAAGGGTCCAGTTAGCAGTTAAGTACCTTAAAGCAATGAAACAATCCAGGGTGGTCTGCCCCAAGCTGCCCCCAAGTCCTTACCTGGTGAACACCTATCTTTCATTCAGTCCCATGCCAAATAATTCCTGAGTGCCTGCTAGGTGCCAGGCAATTGGCCTGGAGCTGAGGACAAAGATACGCACAAGTCTCAAACCCTGCCTTTGAGGTTGCAACCTAATTAGAAAACAGCCACATGAGCAAGTAAAGGTGACCACTGTGGAAGGGATGTGATTAAGGCCTGGATGCTGGCAACAAACTGCCTGGATCCAGGATCCTGGCTCTGCCACTTACTAGCTGGATGATCTTGAGCAAGTTACTCTTCCTCTGTGCCTCAGTTCCTCACCTGTATAATGAGGATAGCAATAGTACCTACCTTGCAGGGCTATTGGGAAGAGTAAACAGGGCTATCCAAACAGTATTATTAAAGATATTAACAGCACATATTATTAATACTATAGTACTAGTACTTGAACTAGAAACAATGTGCATTGCAGGCACAGAGAAAGGAGCACTATGGCTTGGTGATAAGGAGGCTTCTCAGAGGAGGTGGTATTTAGATTCACCAACAAGGAAGTCTTTGCATTCTTTGTCCATAGGCACCTACCCAGGAGCCAGGCACATGTCACTACTGGGATACAATAGTATTGGGATACAATAGAGAAAAAGACCCAACAAAGAGAGAGGAGAGGTTGGGCTAAGGGTGATTCAGGGATGGCTCATTTAAGCAGGAGATCTGTTTCTGAGTAGTTAACATGTGGCAAAATTCTCCCTGAAGGCACCAGAAAAGCTTGCTACCTAAATAAATGTTGGCAAGGCAGTCTCCTGCATGCAGTCTTTGCACCTCCAGTAGCCACATAAGAATGTGTCTTGGACCTGGAACCCTTCCTTACCAGGAGATAAAGAGCTCACACAGCCTGTGCAAGCATTATTACCTTGTATGGGAATAGCTTTCACTGTTTCAAGCTCAATATATGCTTCTTTGTTCTGTTTACGTCTGTAAGTCAATGGCCCTCAGGCACGCCCCCAGCTTTCAGTACTTCAGAGTACACATGGGAGGGGTACATGTCCTATTAAGATTGTGAGGACTGCTCATGACCCAATTGCCCCGCTTAGGCTGCTAGAGGGATCCACTATCCGTGGGGGACCAACACATACTATTGGAGCTGATCTTGTTCTTTCTCTTCTCTATGTGATTAAAGCATTGTTCCATCCATGCTTGACTGTATTATGTTTCCTTGGTGACTACATTACCAAGAAGCAGTGGGTAAAAGGATTTGAACTTCTATTCCTAGTGGCCAACATCATGGTGATCTTTGTTACCTTCCATGTATTAATAGCTGGAGTCCTGACCTAGCGTTGGTAATGTACACGGTGTTCTGCTCAACAAGAAGCCTTCTTAATCTTGCCTAGAGTGAATTACTACCTAGAAAGCCATCTTTATTTGTACATACACATTTTAACTATTTATCTTTATTTAATTATACAGACTTGTGGCTATTTGGTTGACTTTGACCTTGGGCAAGTTACTAAACCTCTCAATCTTTCTGTTTTTTAAAAATCTGTAATATGGGGATAATAACAGTATCTTCTTAAGGTGGTTGAGATTTTAAGAAGTCTATTCTTACAAAATAATTGTCAAAATGACAAAATAATAAGTATTCAATAATTGACGGCTACTATGTTAACATGATGATGGTGATGGTGGTAATGAGGGTAGTAATGGCAAGAATATGGATGCACAAGGCCATAAATGGGTCACAAAATGACATTTTACTCACTTTAGCTCTTTCAAGGGTTTTGCATCTCTAACAACTATAATCTTTCCATTCAGTTTAATATTCTCTGAAGGCTGGCAGTGCCTCTTTTCAAAGAAATGCAGATTGGACTCATTGCTGATTATGTTAAAACCTACATGGGTAAAAATGTGAGGGAGAAACAGACATGTTTGTTCACTTGGAATCCTTAAAATGTCTGGCTCTGGCTCCCCACTCATGAACTGCAGCGCAGCAGACAAGGGCAAACAGCAAAGTGATCTGGATGTGATCAGGTGGGACCATAAATCATGGTGAGGGCTGAAATTGAATCAAACTGGGGCACCTGTGCACGCTATTTCAAAATGCAAGCAACATGGAAAACACAGTCTTGTAAAATAAAACAAGTTGCTGGCCACTGGGCAACAATTTATTCCTCCCCTCCCTTGGGGCTTGGGCTGCTTCCTGGCTCCCAACATCAATTCAGAGGCTCATGCTGACATTTCACTATAGATCTTACAATGTACAGAAGTTTTCCTAGCCAACCCCTCCAACAAGAAAAGGCAGTGAATTCCTGTGCAGAAAGGTAATTTAGGGAAAGTAGGTAAAGCTGAACTGGGAGTTGAGTGGGCAGCAGGGGCCAGGGTTGACTCTCTGAATAGGTGACTGCCTAATATTTGGTAATAATTTTCAGGGTTCCAGGACTCTGATAATCCTCCCTAATGCTTCTATACCCTATGTCACAAAGCAGAATCCCACCCCAAAAGAGATAACCTCTAGACATATTAATGTGAGCAAATTTATCAGTTCCTAATTGAGAACCAGTATTGATGGTTCATGGGGCAGGAAGGGAGACAGGTTCACTGTACTGCACTGAATAGTTGAAAGTCAGGAGTGCTGGGAGAGATGCACAGCAAGAACAGGGGAGTAGGCAGGCACAGCAGAGGGCAACAGAGCTAGTGGGAACATTTACCTATTCTTAATTTAAGTACGGCTGGCCCTGGCCCAGGCCCAAAGAAGGCAGAGGATTAGAAGAGAAGGTGGCAGGAAGGGGAAGTAAGGATGAGGAGAGACATGCAGACTTCCAAGCTGGAATCTGTGTAGAGGTTTTCTGCCCACTCTTCCCCCTCCCCCATTAAACATATGCAAATGGAAATGGTAATAAACTCAGATAATGATAGAGTCAGCATTTAAACTCACCATAGAATGCACAAATTACAGAGGAGGTTGTTACAGATGCAAAGGCTGGATGCTTTATTGCTGGGTGAGAGGGTATTCTGAATTGCAGGTGTTAACTGGATATCTCAGGCCAGGCAGAGAGTCTGATAGGAGGCTTCCTACAAGACAAAGAGGTCTAAAACCAGGTTTTGCTGCTGATGAACATGAAATTTGTTCTAAGTATATTCAGTGGGTCTTTGTATCAAAGCAGCTGGGACTTCCCCTTTGTGACACACCCACTCACTCACACCACTATAGCTTCACAGGTCCCCTTGCTGTTCCTGGAAGCTGCCAGGCACGCTCTTCCTCTGCACTGGATGTTTTCTCTGCCTGCATCTTTCTTCCTCTAGACAGGCATGTGTTCACTCTTTCACCTTGTTTGGGTCTTTGTCCAAAGATCCCTTTCTCAGTGAGGCTTACACTAACTACTCAATTTATAATTAAAATTCTCCATGTCTCCTTACACTTGTTCTTGTTTCTTGTCAGTAGTATTTGTCATCTTCTAATATACTATATAATTTACACTTTGCTATATACATTACTTATTAGGCTTAATGTTTATTATCTGTCTCTCTTTATTAGAATATAAACTCTATGAGAGTAGAGAAATTTTATCTTTTGTGTTTCTCCTCCACACACACATCCAAAGTATCCCAAGTGCCTAGAACAGAGCCTAGTACATAATATTAATAGATAGTTATTAATTAAATGTTTGCTGAGCACATGATTAAAAGCAGCCTCCTTAGAAAAAGAACCTTCCTCTCAAGAGAGGTAACTGAAGCTTCCAAGATGATTGTAACATCTTGGACTCTCTCCTTTCACAAATCTATAGTTCGTTATTGACTCGGGATGGAATACCTTTATGAATTAGTGCAACACATATAGTTGTGAAGCATATCACCTCCCAAATAAAAGGGACCAGAGAAGCCCAGGGGCCTGGGGCAAATACACATTGGTTTGATTTCTCCTGTGCTCACATAAAGACCTACTTAGAAAGTCATTATGGATTATGATGTTTAGAACTTTGAATGAACTTGCATCCCATCCAATTATCTTATTTTACAAATAAGACATGGAGAGATTAAATGGCTTGCCCAGGCTTCCACACCCGATTACGGGAGTAGTGAAATCAAACCCTATTTCTGTTAATTCACTGTCCAGTATGTAGCTTTTCCCGCATGTTGTCTCTTGTGCAGTTGTGCTACACTGGGTTTGTATCTAGCTGTCTCATGCAGCACTTTCTAAGCAGTTACTTTTTTTTTTTTTTTTTTTTTTTTTTTTTTTGAGACCGAGTCTCACTCTATCGCCCAGGCTGGAATGCAGTGGCGCGATCTCGGCTCACTGCAAGCTCCACCTCCCGGGTTCACGCCATTCTCCTGCCTCAGCCTCCCGAGTAGCTGGGACTACAGGCGCCCGCCACCACGCCCAGCTAATTTTTTTGTATTTTTTAGTAGAGACGGGGTTTCACCATGTTAGCCAGGATGGTCTCGAACTCCTGACCTCGTGATCCGCCCGCCTCGGCCTCCCAAAGTGCTGGGATTACAGGCGTGAGCCACGGCACCTGGCCTGAGCAGTTACTTTTTAAGAGCTCTGCCGGGAATCCATTTTTAATAGCACCAGGGGGAAATCTCTGTTTCAGCACCTCTCCATCGTGGACAGCAGCCAACCCAGCTTATTCTAGCCAGTCTATGCTTTACCGAACATTTTATTCCTTTCATTTCTATTTACAGGATTGGCCCATACCATCCTTTGCCTTCAAAAAAGCCTTTTCAGAGGGTTTGATGATCCATGACCATTTCTCAGTAACTTGCATGTCTAGCAGTCTAGACAGGTTTCGCAGTTTGCAGACATTATAGTGGAAATGCCCAAAGCAAATTCTGAGAACTATTAATTCTTGGGAGGCTAATAAACATGTTGCTATTAAATAAACATATACATATATATGTACTTAAATAAGTGTAAATAACTTTCCTCTAGCACCTATTTAAAAGTGCATTTTAAGTTTCCAAGAAAAGTGTGTAGTATGTATCATTTCTCAATCTCAATTGACCATGAAGTCTTTTATTGTGCAGCATCTCATAGATATGATGAGAATGTATTTGGGAAATGTTTCTCTACAAGGCCAAAATATCTAAGGGCAGGAGGAAAAGAGTTATGGGTAGCGTTCGAGAAGCAAAGCAGAAGATAAATACAAAACACATTGGCAGGCTTGGAGTCAAAGAATAGTGGAGGTGAGGCTATGGCAGAGGCTAAATATAAGGATAAAAATTCACGAGACCTTTCAAAAGAACAGGTCCCTCTCCTATATCTGTAAAGTAGAACTTCCCCATAAGATGCCCAGCCACTTATTAGCAAGGCCAAAGCCTCTGAAATTCTAAATACGAATCACCAAGCAGCTGAAATCCACCCCTAAGCCTCTGGTTTTAGTAACTTACTTATTTCCAGAAGAATTGCCTTGCCTACCGTAACAACTCTTGCCCAGAGCTGGAAGAGTCTGAATAAAACGCATTTAGCTACTATCTGAAGATCTTAAGTCATTAAGCTAAATGCAAAAGGCTTTTGTTAAAAATCACACTCAACTAGATATTGAGGTTTATTACACACTTTCTCCAATTTTCCTTCCTCCTTTATGTAATCTCAGCTGGGCTGATTTGCCTGCATTTTTTCCAGTGGAATCTTCTTATTACTCCCAAGATGCAACAGAGAATCACCAACCCTGTGCAGAGAGGCACAGGGCTGCATCTGGATTAGAAAAAGGGGGCTATTTATATTCAAATCAAAAGTATATTTTAGCATAACACTTGCAGGATTTCTGCAAAGAGAATGAAAGAAAAGAGAATGCAGTTCCTTTTTCATTCTCGTTTACTGTATTATTTGCCCCATACTATGCTTGTCACATGGCCTTGAAGCAGTGTGATCTTATAATGATAGGCCCTGTTGGCACAAAGAAGAAGAAATCCAGCTGCACTGGGGGTTTCAGGGGATGTCTTAGACAGCTGGCCCAGCCCTTCCCCCTGCATGTTTCAGGGATAAGAGTCAGGATGTTGCTAATCTTGCTTGCATATAATTCTTTCCAGTGCTAAACCTGACTCTCGGTCATGACCATTCAGAATCTCTTGCCTCCCTAACAACCAGAGAGCCAGAAAACCTTGGACAATGCCAAAAGTAAACAAATCTTAGGCCACAGAAGTCTTTGATTCCATTTCAGTTGGCAGACCCTCCAAGTTTATGCTCAAAATGAGCACACTGTGGCCTTCTAGCCCAGCTGTAAGAAACAGCCAAACAGTGTGCCTCTTTCTGCAGGCTTAATGAACCCCCATGCCATGTCAGACCAGTGGGAAATGCTTCTATATGAATTCATGAGTCAAACATTTGAAACTTTAAAATAATGAGTAGGTGGCCCCTTCATAAACCTGAAGGAGGCAGGAAACAGCACAGACTCCCTCTGCACCAGTTTTAGGGAGCATGCAGGTCATCTTAGCTGCTCAAGGGAGACCTGCCAAGACAAACTGCCAGGGCACAGCAGAACCACAAGCTAAGTCTTTTGTGCCAAGCTCCACCAGTGTCCTCTGCCATTCTCAGGACAAGCTCCTCACTTTCCTGTTTGCACCTGCTAAGTCTCAGTGCCAGGAACAGTAACCCATGCTTATTCAGTCACTGTGTAAAAGCATATAAGGAAATTCCTGGCTGCTGTCAACTAATCCATTTTCGCCTTCATCTTCCACTCAGCCTGGTGTAAGCAAAGACTACAGGAAGAGTTCTGAATGTCAGAGAAATAGAATCCAATGGCCCTCTCACCTCAGAACAGCTAGTGGGGTTTCCAGCTCCTCTTCTTCCTTACTTACTAACTTTCAAACCTGGAACCTGTGAAACCCAGTGAAATCTTTCTTTACATACAATTACAGCTAAAATCCACAATTGAGTAATAGTCAGATTATCCTCTCCTAAAATTGTCATGATACACTATTATTGCATGGATAGAGGGATCTCTGCCAGAGACCCACTGTGCTCTTATTTCAGAACTAGATAGAAAGTGAGAGGAACATCACACTTAATCAAAATCCTTGGATGAGAACATTGCAGGGTTCAAAATCATGGCACTAGACCATGTATCAAGTCTCCAGAAGAAATTAAAAAGAACTTTTTGTGCAGGAAAATATAGCAGACATAACATCTGGAAGTTCTAGGTCTTTCAAAAAGCATCTTGTAACATGTCTCAAGAAGAAGTTAAGATGATGGCATTCTTGCCTTTATATAGAAATGCTGTGGACTGCATAGAAATGCATTTTTTTTTTTTTGAGATGGAGTTTTGCTCTTGTTGCCCAGGCTGGAGTGCAATGGTGCAATCTCAGCTCACCGCAACCTCCGTCTCCTGGGTTCAAGCGATTCTCCTGCCTCAGCTTCTGGAGTAGCTGGGATTACAGGTATGCACCACCATGCCAGGCTAATTTTGTATTTTTAGTAGAGACACGGTTTCTCCATATTGATCAGGCTGGTCTTGAACTCCTGACCTCAGGCGATCCAACCACCTTGGCCTCCCAAAGTGCTAGGATTACAGGCATGAGCCACCTTCTTAATTACTATATTAGAGAATCATCTTGCATGCAACAGACAAAAATAAAATAAAATAAAACCTTAAAAAGGCACACACCACTTTATAAAGCCATGTGTCAGAAGGCAACTTCATTCAGTGGTGCAAAATTAGATGAATATAAAGATAATGGAAGCCTTGATATTCTTAGAATCATGCAGCATAAAACATCTAGTGAGATCTCCTAGTATTTCTGACCACCATATGAAAAAAGACATAAATCTTTTCAGTATAAAGACACCCAGATTATGTAAGTTAAGGTAATGCGAGCAGATATTATGAACCAATTTCCAAATTTCGGCAGCCTTACAAAATAAAAGTGTATTTCTCACTTAAACAGCATTCCAATGTAGGTATTCCTGGTAGGTAACTTTCTTTTCTCCATTTGGTGATTGAAAGACCCAAGTTCCTCCCATCTTGTGGCATTGTTATTCCTCTAGAGCCTTATAACCTTTTTTACTACTCTGGCAAGAGGAAAAATAGAAGACAGAAAAGTCATATCCCTTCTTAATATCCTAGACCTGGAAATGACATCATTACTTTTGTTTTTATTTCACTGGTGAGAACTAGACGCATGCCCTCCCTAGGTGCAGAGGAACTGGGAAGTATAATCTGGATGTGGAGCTCCTTTACAGTGACAACTCAACGATATGGAAGGACAAGCATAAATTTTCATTTAAAGTTTCCCATCTCTGCCGTAAAGATATATAGCAAAGCAAACCAGGATGATCTGACTTAACCAGGCTTTAATAGTAGTCAACATGCTGTCAACTACTTTGTGTAGTTAGTGAAGGAGAGAGAGGTAACACCAAGCAAGAGTTGAAACAAACATATATATATATATATATATATATATATATATATATATATATATATATATAGTATGTTTTGAGACAAGGTCTCACTTTGTTGCCCAGGTTGGAGTGCAGTGGCACAAACACAGCTCACTATAGCCTTAAACTCCTGGACTCAAGTGATCCTCCCACTTCAGCCTCCTTAGTAGTTGGGTTGATAGGCACACACCACCAGGTCTGGCTGATTTTTTAAAAATTTTTTTGTAGTTATGGGAGGTCTCACTGTGTTTCCCAGGCTGGTCTCCAACTCTTGGCCTCAAGCAATCCTCCCGCCTTGGCCTCTCAAAGCACTATAATTGCAATCGTGAGACACCGTGCCTGGCCTAAAACAGGTATTAAGATAAAAAATATTTTTAAAAAAGTGTTTGGCCGGGTGCGGTGGCTCACGCCTGTAATTCCAGCACTTTGGGAGGCCGAGGCGGGCGGATCACGAGGTCAGGAGATCGAGACCATCCCGGCTAAAACGGTGAAACCCCGTCTCTACTAAAAATACAAAAAATTAGCCGGGCGTAGTGGCGGGCGCCTGTAGTCCCAGCTACTTGGGAGGCTGAGGCAGGAGAATGGCGTGAACCCAGGAGGCGGAGCTTGCAGTGAGCCGAGATCCCGCCACTGCACTCCAGCCTGGGCGACAGAGCGAGACTCCGTCTCAAAAAAAAAAAAAAAAAAAAAAAAAAAAGTGTTTATTTGGCTTCTCCAATAGTTCTTATTCCCAAATTGATTATTTCATTTTTAAATTTTAACCTATTAAAACATGATAAGGGGATTTCCATGTAAAGCCAGCAATGTAAGGGCATTTTTACTCCTTGAGCCTCCCAAACTCACAAAAACAATTTTTTAAAAGAACTTTTTAAAACTCTCATCATCTGTGAAATAAGCAAACAACTATAAACAATCAAGCATATATGCCAAATAATGAAAAGCCTGGACTAAGATGAAGGAGGATTATAGAAGCTGCCATAGCCCCTCAGTTCTTAAATAAGATTCTTAAAAAGCAATTATCTAGGAAAGGCTGGTTAATGAATCATTGGTTTAAAATGTTTGGGAGAAGCAGATAAATACAATAGTACTCAGGGGAGAGGAAATTTAAGAAGAAACAATGCTGACACCCCATTTTTATTGTCTCTGACATAATCCCCAGCCAAGGAAGATCACTAGAGGTGAAACAGGATGAAGAAGATATTGTAATCACTAGATCACAATGTAGAAATCCTGTAATTTCTGATTCCTTACTCTAAGCTGAACCAACATCTAAAAAAACAAAAATTATGGGAAGTTACAACTCCCAGAGCAAATGAAAGAACTGAGTAAAAGAATATCAATAAAAGCACGTGAAGATTATATTTTACATTCAAAGAAGAATTATCAAAAGAGGAGAAATGTTATTTTAAATAAATAATTCTCCTTAGCCTCAAAAACTTATGAACAACTGATCTCCCTCTTGATAAAAAGATACTTAATATTCAAAGGAGAAATGCAAAATTTCAAAAAAATATTGTAAAACAATGAAAGCAAACACAAAATGTTCTAGGGGGAAAAAAAGATCTTTAGTTCAGGTTTGATAAAACTCCCAGAAAATGTGTTCCAATAAATATAAGTTTACAATGAAAGTCACAAAAGTCAGAGGTAAAAAGCCACCATTAATGAAAGTCAACTAAAAGCCACAGTGACAACAAGAAAACAGACTCCAGATATTGGAAGTATCAGATACAGGATGAATAACTATTTTTGGTATGTATAAAGAACTAGAATGAGTTGGGGAAGAGTCACTCTTCCTCAATTTTTTGGAGTACTTTCAGTAGGAATGCTACTAGTTCCTCATATATCTGGTAGAATTTAGCTCTTAATCCATCTGGTCCTGATCTTTGTTTGGTTGGTAAGTTTTTATCACTGATTTGATTTTGGAGTTTGTTATTGGTCTGTTCAGGGATTCAATTTCTTATTGGTTCAGTCTTGGGAGGGTGTGTGTGAAGAACTTACCCATTTCTTCTAGATTTTGTAGTTTGTGTACATAGAGGGCAAATCAACCTAAATGCCCATCAACAGTAGACGGGATAAAGAAAACGTGGTACATATACAACATGGAATACTATGCAGCCATAAAAAAGAATGAGATCAGGTCCTTTGCAGGGACACAGATGGAGCTGAAGGCCATTATCCTTAGCAAACTAACACAGGAACAGAAAATCAGCATTGCGTGTTGTCACTTATAAATGGAAGCTAAATAATGAGAACACATGGCAACAAAGAAGGGAACAACACACGCTGGCATCTACTTGAGGGTGGAGGATTGAGAGGAGGAAGAGAACCAGAAAAAAATATCTATTGGATACTAGGCTTTGTACCTGAATGACTAAATAATCTATACACAAAACCCCCATGATATGAGTTTAACTACATAACAAACCTGCACATGTAACCCTGAACTTAAGATAAAAGTTAAAAAAAGAGAACCAATTTAAAAAGGAATTAGAGAAAATAATTTTGAAAATAATTAAGGAGCAATGGACTATCAAAAATGACCAGATATACTATCACAATAGTTGTTGAGAAATTTTTTTAAATGACCAGATTTGAAAAATGACCAAATATAACTTCTTGAAGTTAACAATAAAATAACTGAAAAGTTCAATAGAAGTGACTGAAAAGAGGCACCAGGAAATTTTCTGGGGTGACGGTAATGTTCTCTATTTTGTTCTGGGTAGTTGTTACTGACTATATTCAATTGCTAAAACTCATCAAACTAAGTACAAAAGAACGGCTCACTTTAGTATATGTTAATTATACCTCTGTATTTTTAGAAAAGAAAAGCTCAATAGAAAAAAAAAAGTCCAAAAGAGAATTAGAGAATAATAAAAGTGTAGAATGTTACTTAAAGATATTTAAAATTAGAAAATATAAAAGAGAAATTAAGAAACAAGAGTTTGGAGTCAGATGTAACATAAATTTATCAGAGTTCAAGAATGCCATTGATACCAGAAAGTAAAAAATAATATTCAAAAGCTAATGAGTAACAATTGTCCAGAACTGCTGAAAAACATCAAACCTCATTTTTCCAACAAATCTAAAATTCATCACAGTAAAACTACAGTACACCACAGATAAATTGAAGACCTCAAAAGCAATCAGAGATTAGACAGATTACCAGCATAGTCATCACAATTAAATTGGTAGCTAACATCTCAACAGCAGCAGTGAAGCTGGAAGACAATCTAATATTGTAGTCACTCCTAAGTAATGACAAAAAACAATAAGTACAGTAAAACCCCAGGCAACATCACACTTCTTCAGAAAGTAAATATTTATGTAAATACAACTGGAGATAGGCTTCTCCTCTGGTTCAAGTTCTTATCACGTGGTAAAGAGGTGGGGGGAGTAGGAAAAAGGTGAATCTCAATCTCCCCAGCTAACTAGAAGATCCTTACAAACACTGTTACTCTCTTGGAAGTCTCAGCCAGCTGGGGGACCCAGAATTGTCTCCATCAATATTTAAGCTGAATTACAGAATGGCCACCCCCCAGATTGTTACTGTTACTGATGTCTAGACAGATTTGGGTCACATGACTAAGGCTCAGGAACTCTCAGCCAGCTAGGCTCAACCAAATCTTTTCATTCATCATAAAATAAAGTGACCCTGCATTTTATAAAAATGAATGTTTGGGGTCATGCTTATTGCACTCTGTTGGAGTTTTACTGTATCAGCTCAAAAGTGTATACCAATATGAGTTATATTTCAGGAACACAGATGAAATAGAAATATATTCAGCTATAAAAGTCTGAAAGAATTTATCACTATTAATCTCCAACTAGAGAGAGAAAATAGCTAAAAGAAGTTCTGACATACAGGAAGGGATACGAATGAAATAAAAATGAACATATGGATAAATTTAAATAAAAACTGACTCTTTAAAACCATAATAAAGTGTCTAATTTATAATGCTAATTTAAAAAGAGAGAGCTAAGAGGAGAGATCTAGAAGCTGTTTAGGGGTGACTAGAATTAAACCATTCTAAACTCTCATTTGAGAGGAAGGTAAAAATATTAATTAACTTTACACTGTTAAGTATACATTTTAAAGTTTCAAAGGTAGCCACCAAAAGAACTAAATCAAAATAAATATTTGCCAAACCAGCAGAGAGGGGAAGAATATTTAAACTAATCCAAATAAAGGCAAGAAAGAAGAAGGAAAAAGAACACAGCAAAAGCAAAACAAATAGAAAGTATCAGATAAAATCGATCAAGTAAATCTAACTATATTAGCAATTAGAATAGATAAAAAATAAACTCTCTAGTTAAAAGGTATAGCTTGTCAGACAAAAAAGTTTTAAAGCTATGTGTTTAAAGCTTCATGTTTATATCTAAAATATGAAGACACAGAAAGGTTGAAAGTAAAATATAGAAAAATTATAAAAGTAGCAAACGTTAACTAAGAGAAAAATAGTATAGCTGTGTTCATATCAGGCAAAAATAGACTTTAAATCAAAAGGCATACTAGAGATAAAGAGAATCATTGCATAATGGTAAAATGTTCATTTCTCCAGAAAGATAAAAATAATTTTATATTTGAATACATCCAATAAAATAATTTTGAATATATAAAGAAAAAATGAAAGAACTACAGAAAGAAAGAATGTCTACTATGTCATTGGGCAATATTAATACATCTCTCAAATCAAAAGAGTATGAAATATTTTGATAACATGATTAACAAGCTTGGGCTATATGAAACATATATAGAACATGCAACCAACAATTGGATAACATATGTTTTTGCAAATATACCAAGAACATTTATGAAAACGATTACACACTAAGCTTTTATATTGTGCATTCTTATTTAGAAGAATACACAAGAAATTAATAATGTGAGTTGTTAAAGGACAACAAAACAGCAGGAAGACAAGAATGAGAGATTTTTCCACTGTATATACTTCTCTACCTTCTGAATTCTAACCCTGTAAATATATGACTTATGCAAAATATGTACAAAATTAAAATTCAAAAAACAAGACAAGCTGTAAACAAAAGAAATTAATGTTTGAAATAAAAAAGGAACACAATGATACAGCAAAGGCGCTATGTATTATTATTGCTAACTTCATACCAATATATTTTAAAATGTTGAGAAAATTGACAAATTCCTCGATAAATACAACTTACCAAAACTGGCTCAAAAAAGAATAGGGAAACAATTCACATAAAAGACATTGGGTCAGCAATTTAAAAATGTTCCACAAAGAAAACACTACTCCCAAACTGTTTCATAGGCAAATTCTACCAAATATTCAAGAACGATAAAATGTAAGGTACAAAAGGAAAGGGATTTTTGTCTGTTTTACTCTATGCTGTATCCCCAATTCCTACAATTTCTGGTATATAGTAGACGGCCAGTTCACTCTATGAAACTAGTATGAACTTAATTCTGAAAACAGACATGGAAATATAAGAAAAAGCAATTGAAGATAAATTTCACTGATAAATATATTTACCAAAATAGTAATGAAGCTATACTGAATTTATAACTGTATTTTTAAAAGATAATACATATTTACCAAATTGGATTTATTTTAGGACACAAAGATGGCTTGTCATTGTAGAGTGTTTTAATGTAATCACCACATGAACAGCCTTCAAGAGAAAAGGCACATGATCATCTCAATAAATGAAAAAAGCTTTGACAAAAAATCAGTATGTATTCACAATAAAAGCCTTAACAAAGTAGAAATACAAGAAAACTTCCTAAATCAGGTAAATGGCATCCCACCAAAAATCTAGAAGAAACATTGCCTCTGTGGAGAAACGTTAGAATTATTTTCTGTAAAGTCAGTAACAGGATAAGTTTTTCAAATAAAAGGACTCTTATTCAGCACCAGAGGAGAGGCTAACCAGCCCAACAGTAGTAAAGAAAATAAAAACTGTAAACATTGGAGTGATAGAAGCAAAGCTATCATTATTCACAGAAACTATGATTATCTGCATACAAACCCAAATAATATACACATAAATTACTTGAATTAATCAGAAAATTTCACAGGGGCTAGACTAAAATCCATGCACAAATATTGCAGTTGCATGTAACAGCAATAAACAAAAAATATTTTGAAAATATATCATTCTAAATATCATCAAGATATATAATGTATCCAGAAATAAATCTAGCAAAACATAGGTAACGTTTTCAGGGAAAAATTATAAACAAAAAGTAAAAGACAATAAAAAATACTACATAAACAGAAATTTATACCATATTCATAAAGATACTTATTACCACAAAATATCAATTGTCCTCTATTTTATATAAAGATTCATGCAATCTCAATTAAAACATCAGCAGCTTGTCAAGAAATGTTATATAACTCCAAAATTCACATGGAAACACAAAGAAAAATACATTAGAAACCCAAAGAGCCCAGAAAAAATTAAAAGCCAAGAAAGACTTGAACTATTCTATCAACCAACTTGACCTAATTGGTATATAGAGAACATACCACATAACAACAAGAAACAAAACAAAGAAGCCCTAGTATAGAATTACCTTAAAAATAAATGGTCTAAACATACCAATTACAAGAAACATTAAACACAACGACACAGGTAGTTTGAAAGCAAAAGAATAGAAAAAGACATATCATGCTAATACTAATCAGAAACTAAATGGCTTTAATTGGGCTAAAAGTAAAACAATGAAAAAAAGATATGCATCAATGAGAATAAAATATCTAAAGTAGCTACGTTAATATTAGAAAAGTGAACTTCAGAACAAGAATTATATTATGAATGAAGAACAAGAATTATATTATGAACTTTGCCAAGAAGACAGTACATCCTAAATGTCTATGCATCTAGTAACAGAACTTCAAAATACCTAAAGTAAATACATGAAGTAAAAACTGGGTACATCTATTCTTAGGTATAAGCTAGAGTAATACACTTCACTATGTGGCTTTTTGCATCAGGAAATATACACAAGCATATTTATTACAACACTGTTCATAACAGAACAAGTAACCTAAAAAAAATTGTTGTGGTAGCATATTAACAAAATTTTTTAAAGTTTTAATAAAAATAAAGAAATGATAGCTACTTATATTAACAGAAATATAATCCATAGAAATATGACGTAATGTGAAAAAGTAGGTGACAAGATTATGTAAATAGGTTTTAATTTTAATAAATCCCCTGAGCAAGTAAAATTAAATAATGTATTGTGTGTATATACATATATATGACTTATGTATATTCTGTAAGAAAACACATACATACATAATATGCTAAATCTATATAGCCAAACAAGTCGGTTACAAGTAAAAGTTTAATATTGTGATTACCTCTGAGTGATAGGAGATAGGATTAGGAGGGAAATACAAGTTTTTGAACACGTTCTTTGTGGGTTTATTGGCATTTACTTTACTATTATGTTTAACTTAATATTACATATTTTGTTTTGTATAGATAAAATAATCTACAATTAAATTTTAAATTATTTCTAAGTACAACTAAGATAGAGAAAAATAAATAGAACTATTTTATAAAAATGATTTAAGAGAAGCTAATAGATGCAGAAGACAAAAGGAGGTGCAATGTATACACAATTCAGTCTTCTTAAAGAATAGAATGCACCAAACAGTCCAGAAAAAAATACGTTTAAAAATCTTTCATGAATGAGAAATGCTTGAATCTGCAGATTGAGATTATACGAGGAGAAAAATATTTAATCATCTACGAAAGGATTAGAAGCTCACATTATCCTTAAATGCCTTCACAGCAACAGTCAATGCTAGAAGACAATGGAGCATGACTCATGGCTTTTTACTTTGCATTAGTCTGTGTAGCTTGGATTAAAAAATTTAAAAAGTATATATCTTATTTAAAGCTTTATGAGGATATGGAATAAAGCATAAAGGAAATGCACTGTACTGAGCACTAAGATGTCTTTAGTCCAGGTCCCAGCTCTCTCATTTATTCTCTATATCCTTGGGCAATTTACTTTACCTGCTCTAACTCAAGGTAAAAAGAAAACAAACAAACAAAAAATATGGGAATCACAACCACAAAGTTATAATGATAGCCTGGTTGCCAAGACTGGCTCTGAGGGGCAGATCAGGTCTTTCAAACCCAGAATCCAAAAGAAGTAGAGAGATTAAGCATGATACAGGTGATTGCCCACACCAGGAAGATCCAATCAGATGGGCAAAAAACAAACATGTTCCAGGTAAGGCCAGTCGGTAAAGTCTATGCCTGCATGACAATATGCAGTACTCACTTTCAGTTCAGACTTTTGTGGATTTGAATCTTAAGTCTGCCACCTTACTACCTGGGTGACCTTGGGTAAATCACACAACCTCTCTAAGCCTCACTTCTCTGCAGCCTCGCATTTTTTAAAGGAGGGTAATAGTTTTGCTCATAGAATTGTTTCCTGTTGTTTGCAAAACAAACATTATAGTACTTGGTACAGAATTGGTGCTTAATAAATTATAGTTCTCATAACTCAACTTCTAAGCGTAACCAGATGTGAGTCAAAGAATGCTGCTCACTGCCCTGCACTCACTCATATCAGATTGAGAATGAACAGGACTGAGCCTGTAGGGGAAAGATATTTCTCATGCCCCTGTAAAGATCTATTGAAGGGAGGGGCAGACATGGTGCATTTTAGCCACAGTTTTATCATCTGTACAATAAAAGGATTTTACCAAAGAATCTCTAAGGACCTCACACACCTCTTAGTTCTAAAACTCTCTGATCTGTGAACCAAATCTGATGTGTATTCTATGTTTAGAATTGATATGTTAGATCATCTGGTCATAGCTAAAATCGTATCATCTGTTGATTTATATAAAGGGTTATGGTAAATGACCTTGGATAAAGAATATAATCTAAAATGCTATTTGTAACATCAAATGAAGTGTAAAGATTTAATGGCTTATCCCTTGGACTGAGGACCTCTTTGAATCATATATTCTTAGAGTTTAAAGGGATCTCAGAAGTCATCTAGTCAAACCTTCCAACTAGTAGAGGAACCACTGCTAGGACAGCCACACAAGGCTCACAACCTGGGTTGAATATATCTGATGACAGCAACCTCTCTCCCTTACAAGATGCCTATTCCATTTTTAAAATTCTGTTGCTAGACCACTATTTTATGTTTATCTTGAGACCAAAACTTTTTTGAGCCCAAATCTTTTCCTTGCTGGATATAATGGTTCTTCATATTTGAAGACAACTATTGAGTTTCCCTCTTAGTCGCCCTTCCAAGCTGTACATTCTTAATTAATTAAAGTCACTCTGCATATGGAGTTTCCAGACTCCACAACAGCCTACTGCCTTCTTCAGGGCCACTTTGTACCTCAGTCAAAATGTGGTCCCTATATAAGAGGAATGACATCAGCAAGATGGCAGAATAGAAAGTTACCCACTTGTATCCTCCAACGACAACAAGAATTTTACACCCATCCACAGACAAAAGTCTCCCTGTGGGAGCCTCAAGATTCAGGTAGGAGGTTGTGAAATGCTGGTGGAGCTTAAATCTAGGAGGGTTGTTTTGAGAGTGCAAACCAGCACCCAGGTGGCAGACCTACCAATTGTGCTCCTGGATTTAAGCCTGAAAATGGCTCCATTCCCTAAGGGATTTGGCTACAGGCTAATTTGGCCTTGAATCTGCAATCAAAACTATTTTCCAAGGAGTCCAACAGAAAGCATGCACACTAGTGCCTCAGCAGAGGGGGTTGTCTGCCCATTGACATTAGTCTTGGCAGTGAACCTGAAGTTATCCTGTGGCTCAGTTCCAGCCCTGTCAAGGCTGAGGTCTCAGCCTAGAACTGCTCCTACAAGGTCCCAGACAGAGACTCATATATTGCAGAGTCCCATATATTGCAGCCCAACAGTCTGAGTCTTCCTGATGGGTTCACCATCCTCTGTCCCACAGCAGATCCTAAAGGGGCCCAGTATCAGGTCTGGCTCCTCCTGCTGCAGTTGGATAACTATCCCACCTGTGCAGGAAGCTGCTGGGAGATGCATGCATCTGAGCTAACAAGATGGGCTCACCAGCCTCTCTCCCACAGCAGATCCTGACAAGGCCCAGTCTCAGCTCCAGCCCCTCTCACTGCAGCCAGGGAACAATGTCACCTGTGCAGGAATCTGTGGAGAGAAATACACCTGGCTGAGCCAGCAAAACAGGCTCACTAGCCTCCATCTTACAGCAGATCCTGAGGGGGCCTAGTCTCAGCTCCAACCCCTCACAACGCAGTCAGGCAACTGTCCCGCCTGCATGGGATATTGCTGGGAGGCACATTCATCTGGGCCACTGGGACAGTGGCAGGATTGGGTCCCTGGCCAGCTTCCCCAGACAGCCTGGGTACCCTCTTTGGGTCTTCCCCAGGTCCATCTGGGCCAGAGGGCTGTCCCAACCTCAGAGCCCACATGAGACTCACAGCAAACCTAAGCTTATAGCATCCAGTAGTGATGAGGTGAGTGCAGTAGTCACAGGCTCAAGGAGAACAACAGTCAGTCTGCTTAGAATATCCAGAAGGCCTAGTGAAGAAGGACAAGCACAAACAAAGGCACACTGTGAAGACTCAAATAAATATCTAACCCTTCAATGCATAGACATTGTTGCATGTCCACAGCATTGAGAACATTCAGGGAAATATGGCCTCACCAAATGGACAAAACAAGGCACCAAAAACTAACCCTAAAATCTATGGACATATGTGATCTCTCAGGCAAACAATTCAAAATCACTATTTTGGGAAACGCAATGAGCTTCAAAAAAACAGGGAAACAATTCAGAAATTTATCAAAGAAATTTAACAGGGAAATTGAAATAATTTTTCAAAAACTAATAGAAATCCCAGAGATTTAAACTATAATAAACAAAATGGGAAATGGAATAGGGAGCATCAACAGCTGAACTGATCAACAGAAGAAAGAATCAGTGAGCTCAAAGACAGGCTATTTGAAAATATACAAAGGAGAAAAAAGAATGAAAAGTAATGAAGACAGCTTACAGAATTTATGAGACAACATCAAAAGAACAAATGTTGAGGCATTGGAGTTCAAAAGAGAGTTGAGAAAGACAAAGGGGTAGAAAGCTTACTAAAAAAAAAAATAAGAAAACTTTACAAACCTGGAGAAAAATATAAATATCCAAGAACAGGAAGATCAACCCAAATGAGAATATCTCAAGACATGTTATAGTCAACCTGTTAAAGGTTCAATACAAATAGAGGATCCCGAAAGCAGTGAGAGAAAATAAGTAAATAACATGTAAGGGAGTTCTAATAAGCTTGGCAGCAGACTTCTTAGCAGAAACTTTGCAGGCCAGGAGGGAGTGGGACAATAAGAATTAATACCAATTCTTCTCAAAATATTCTAAAGAACTGAAGTTGAGGGGATTCTTCCAATCTCATTTTGTGAGTTCAGCATACTCTGATTCCAAAACCAGAAAAGGACACAAAAAAGAAAATTACAGGCAATATCCCTGATGAACATAGATGTAAAAATCCTCAACAGAATACTAAAACAAGAAAAAGGCAAAGGGGTAGAAAGCTTGTTGCAAGAAATTGAAGAGAACACAAATAAAAGGAAAGTATCCTGTGTTCATAAATTGGAAGATTTAACATTGTTAAAATGTCCATACTACCCTAAGCAATTTACAGAGTTAATAACACATCAAAAAGATTATTCACCATGATCAAGTAGGATTTATCCCAGGGATACAAGGATGGTTCAACATACTCAAATCTGAATAGACATTTCTCAAAAGAGACATAATCTTGGCTAACAGGTATATTTTTAAATGCTCAATGTCACTAATGACCATGGAAATGAAAATCAAACCATAATAATATATCTCATCTCCAATTAAAATTGGCTATAGCAAAAAGACAAAAAATTACAAATGCTGGCAAGCACACGGAGAAAAGGGAACACTTACATATAGTTGGTGGGAATATCAATTAGTACAGCCATTATGGAAAACAATATGGAGATTCCTCAAAAAACGAAAAATAGAACTACCATAAGCACATAGATGTATATCCAAAGAAAATGAAATCAGTATGTTGAAGAGATATTTGTACTCCCATGTTTATTATAGAACTATTCACAATAGCCAAGATATGGAATCAACCTAAGGGCCCATAAATGGATGAACGAATTTGTTTAAATGTGGTATATTTGCACAATGGAATATATTCAGCCATAAAAAAGAATGGAATCCTGTCATTTGTAGCAACAGGGATAATCCTAGAGGACATTATGTTAAGTGAAATAAGCCAGGCATAGAAAAACAAATATTGCATGGACTTACTCGTATGTGGAATCTAAAAAAGTTAATCTCATAGAAGAGGAGAGTTGAATAGTGGTTACCAGAGGCTGAGGAGTGTAAGGGATGGTATATGGAGACATTGGTCAATTGGGATCAAGTTACACTTAGACAGGAAAAACAAGTTCTAGAGTTCCATTGCACAATAGGGTGGCTATAGTTAATAATAATATATTGTATATTTCAAAATAGCTAGAAGAAAGAATTTTGAATGTTCTCACCACAAATAAGTGATAAACGTTTGCAGCGATGGGCATGCTAATTACCCTGATTTGATCATTACACATTGTATTCATGTATCAAAACAACATACTGTAACCCATAAATATGTACAATTATTATGTTCAATGAAAAATAAAACTTTAAAATGCGGCTCTAGAATTAAGTACAATACTCTAAATATTACACAAGAGGGAACACTCATCCCCACTAAGTGGGACACAATTCCCCCTTTATTTTATTTTATTTATTTATTTTGAGATGGAGTCTCACTCTGTCACCCAGGCTGGAGTGCAGTGGCATGATCTCAGCTCACTGCAACCTTCGCCTCCTGGGTTCAAGCAATTCTTCTGCCTCCACCTGCCAAGTAGCTGGGATTACAAGCACCCACCACCACGCCTGGCTAATTTTTGTATTTTTAGTAGAGACCGGGTTTCACTTTGTTGGCCAGGCTGATCTTGAACTCCTGACCTCAGGTGATCCGCCCGCCTCGGCCTCCCAAAGTGCTGGGATTACAGGCGTGAGCCTCCGCGCCTGGCCCACAGTGCCCCTCTTACTGCTGCCAAAGAATGGCTTCCTGTT
This sequence comes from Homo sapiens, assembly GCF_000001405.40. Taxonomy (NCBI): domain Eukaryota; kingdom Metazoa; phylum Chordata; class Mammalia; order Primates; family Hominidae; genus Homo; species Homo sapiens. The sequence goes on from NC_000001.11 coordinate 177,616,154, forward strand.
TGGGAAACTCCACTGCACTCTGGAGTATAGCTCCGCTGCTATACTCATTTCTTAGGCCATGACTTCATCATCTGCAATACAAGGACTTAGGCTACCAGATCAATGGTTTTCGTTTTTTTAAAAAAGTTGTATTAACTCCATCTTCAAATGAAATCATATGTGAATCCTCAACCAGGAAAACAAAAGCAATGGAAATGTGCTGATTGTGCTCTGCCCCATGTGTTACCTGCCCACTCAGTGCCATGCCCCACTGCTCTCCAGCGGGGGGCATATAAGGGATTGCCCAGAAAGCCCTGAGGGTCCCTGGAGTACAGTTTATAAACCACTGGACAGTTTCTTACAAACCCTAGAATTCCTACCAAAAAACCAATACAACTTTTCATATGAACTGTTGGCAACATTTGTTCAAATCCCACATCTACCACTTTTTTGATATCTGATGTTAGGAAAATTTCAGTGCTTGTTTCCTCATCTGTACACTGGGAGAATAATTACCCTTACCTCAAATCAATGTTGTAAGGATTAAATGATTTAATACAGAGAAAGCCTTTAACACAGAGAAAGCCCTTAGAGTACCTGATACTTAGTAAGCCTCACATTAGCTGCCAGCTAAGTCCTTCTCAATCTCAACTCACATAGTTAAATTTTTGAAACTAAACTCAGGATATGAAGCTTTTCTATATTTAACTTTTATATTTTCTTCTTGGTACAGACCCAACATTCAGGCTTCAGGCTCAAGATAATTTGAAATCCCGATCTCCTCATCTTTTCTTTCAGCTGTCTCTCTCAGGACTGCGGTACCTGCATTTTTGATAAGCAAACCTCCTGTGCTCTCATTCAGATCACCAGTCTCTTCTTAAACATCAAATTTGACTTTATTGATTGGCCATGGCTAGAAAGATAACATGGCAGTATTTAGCCAGTGTGTGTGTGGATATCATAAAGGTGATCGTTGGGTGAAACTCAGTACATTCCAATTTGGACTTCCAGAGGTCAGATATTCCAAAACAAGGTATAAATGAGCATATTATTTATCACAGTGAATTAGAAGTATGTCAGATTTTAGAGACTAGTAATTACCTAAGATTTGAAGCAGCCCAATCAATTTTGGAATTGTCTAGAAATGAAAGAAAACCTGAAAACCACAACTGACAAGCCACAAAGCATAAAGAAAGTTTCTACGTGAACTTTTGCTTTTACTAGTCTCTAGGACTTCATTTAATTCAAAACCCTTTCTTAGCACCAACAGAATAAAACTCAGCTCCCTAGCCTGGTTCCTAGCATTTTTCACAACTTTGATCCACATGCCTCTCTCACCAATACACCAGTCACAGAAAACGTGTTCTCCTTTCCATGAATGTAAGACACACTTTTATACTTGTACCATCTGATTTGCTATTTTTTCTGCCTATTAATATTTCTCCTCCTTCTCTCTCTGGCAAACTTTTGTTGACTCTATGGACCCAGTTCAAATGTTACTTCTGTAAAATTTACCCCAACTCCAAAATTATTGCTCCTTCCTCTGAGTTTCTCATTGGATTCTGTAATTCCTTTCTTAAAGCCTCACAATGTTATATTGTGATCAATTGTTTCCAAGTGTATCTCACTGGCAACAGCTACCTGGTAGACATCACATGATACCTCAACTAACCCCCTCAGTTTTGGGCATACTATAGAACCTAGATAGATTTTGAGCAAATGTTATAAGACTTACCTACCCTCAATAGCATTGTTTCTATTGGAAAACATTCTGAATAGCAGAATTTCAAGTTAACATTGGGAACACAATTGTATAACCTATTCATTCTTTTATTCAACAAATGCTTGTTGAGCACTTACAATGTGTCAGCTGTTGGTTTAGCCATAAGTGATACAACAGAAAGCAAATTGGTCATATATCTTGCCCTTATAGAGCTTATATTCTAGGGGAAAGACAAAATAGGTCAAATATATGGTATAATACATAAGAAAATTATACTGATAAGGAGAAAAATAAATCATAGTAAAGGAATAGAAATCTAAGAGGAAAGGGTTGCAATTTTAGATAAGGGGATCAAGGAAGGCCTCACTGAGTTGGTTCATTAGAATAAAATTACGAAGGAAGTGAATAAGTGAGCCATAAGATTAGCTGAAAATTTAGAATGCCAGGCAGAGGAAACAGAAAGATCAAGGCCTAGAAGGGGAAGACTGCCTGGTATGTCCAAAGACAGCAGTAAGGCAATGTACTCAAGTGGGAAAAGCAAGGGTAAGAAGAGATGTGTTATTGGGAACCAGGTCATAATGAGCCCTGCAGGTGAGCATGATGACTTTGGGCATTATTTAGTGAGATGGAAGCCAATGAGAGCAATAGCAGAAGAGTGAAATGATCTGATCTCTATTTTCTTCTGGTCTCTCTGGTTGCTCTGATAAGAGAAGGCTGGGGCAGAGGATGGACAAAGATGGAAACAGGACACCAGTTAGGAAGTTATTGCACTACACAGGTAAGACATGACGGGACTGATGAGAAGTAGTCAAATTTTGGAAGAATTTGTCGGGATTTTCCGATGGATTAGATGATTGTGAGAAAAAGAGAAGTTAAGGCTGAGTATCAAGTTTTGTTTTTGTTTTTATCCTAGCAATTTAAAGAATGAAGTTGCATTAACTGAAATGGAGAAAAGTGTGAGAGAAGCTGGTTTGGAGAAGGACCCATAGCTTAGCTTTGGAGATGTGAAATTTGCAATCCTTGTTAGACATCCAAGTGGAGATATCGAGTAGGCTACATGATATATTTTTATGGGTCAGGGAAGACATCCTGGTTAGCGATATGGACTTGGATGATATCAGCACATCACCTATGGCATGACTATAGAAAGAAATAAAGAAGCTCAAGAAGCTCAAGCGCTGAAGCCTGGGGTACTCCAACATTTAGAAGACAGAAAAATAAGGAGAAAAAGGCAAAAAAAGAGACTGAGAAGGAGCATTTAGAAAGGTAGGAGGAAAACCAGGTAAGTATAGTGTCTTTGAAGCCAAGAGGAGAAACAGTTTACAGAGAAGGGTGTGATTAGCTGTGTGTCGAGTGCTATTGAGATTTTAAGTAAGATAAAAACTGAGAATAACCACTGGATTTAGCAACATGGAAATTAAAGGTGACCTTGACCAGTACAGTTTCAGCAGAGTAGTGAGGGGTCAAAGCCTAATTGGGGTAGATTCAGGTGAAAACAGAAGAAGAGAAATTACATTTTTAAATTTTAAGATATTTTGCAGTAATGGGGAGGAGGAAATTGGGGTCAAGAGAGGTTTTCTTTCTTCCTTTTAGGATGGGAGAAATAACAGACTATTTGCATGCTTTCAGAAATATTCAGAAGAGAGAGGAATATTGATGATACAGGAGAGGAGAAGAATTGCTAGAGTGATGTCTTTGAGCATGTTTTGGGGATATGGTAGCATAAGCCATCTGGCAGCAGTGATGCAGACACCGGTCAGATACTGGGAAGGCCACGTAAGCAAGTGACTGAACCAAGGATGTAGAATGAAGGCTGGGATCAGGGCTGTAGGCTGAGGTCCGAGCCCAAGTCAGGAACGTGCAGGCCCAGCACAAGTAAGCAGGAGGCCCCGTCAGAGGAGTAACCAGAGACTCTGTCCTGTAGGTTACTGAGTCAGGATTCGCCCGAGAAACAGAACATATAGGATACAAGAGGAGATTTATTGTGGGAATTGACTCACACATTTAGAGGCTGAGAAGTCCCAGAGTATGCCATCTTGCAAGCTGTAAAATGAGGGAAGCCAGCAGAATAGCTCAGTCTAAGTCTGAAGGCCTGAGAAACAGAGCAGCTGACCATGTAACTCTCAGTCCAAGCCTGAAGGCCTGAGAACCTGGGATGCCACTGGTATAAGTCCCTAAGTTGAAGGCCAGGGAACCTGGAGTTTCAATGTCTGAGGGCAGGAGAAGACAGATGTCCCAGCTCCAGAAGAGCGACAGTGAATTCACCCTTCCTCTTCCTTTTTGATCTCTCCAGACCCCCAAGCCACTGAATGGCACCCACCCACATTGGGGAGGACAGATCTTTACTCAGTCTAAAGATTCTAATGCTAATCTCTGTCACAGATGCATCCAGCAATAATGTTTTACCAGCTATGAGGTTATCCCTTAACCCCGTGAAGTTGACACCTGAAATTAACCATTGCAGTTACAATGAAGTCAAGGCAAAGGTAACTAGAAAGCAAGCACTCACTGAGACCATTTTGTTGGATCGACACTCCTCTTGAGGGCCCCCAATCCTTTCCCATGCAATTTTCTTCCTCTGGTTCCTAAATCTGATGGTCAACATATCCTTTGTGAGAGATCACCTTTACTATTATTTTAATAGAGTTATAATTGTGTACAAAAATTATTATTGAATATGTAATGTACAGAGAGCTCTGAAATTCAACTTGGTGTTCCATAAAGTCTCATCAATGCTTCCAAAACTCACAAAAGCAACCACACATTGATAAATACCAGGATGACAGACTGTGTATTTAAAACTATTTTAATTTTCTGGGCACTCATCTTACTACCTTATTGGTGTCATAAGACGCTGAAATGTTAGAGTTGCAAGAAGGAAATAATCTGAGTCTCTGAGTCACTGTGTCCCAGAAAGGCAGCAGCACAGGAATGCCACCCGACCTACATCAGACACTGATTTGAACAAGAAATAACTCTTTGCTCTGTTAAGTCACTGACATTTTTTTTCCCCTCGCAGCATAGCCTAACATGACCCTGACTAAATCACAAGCACACCAACTTAGCAGAGGTAACCAGTTGGCCTACAAATGCCAATCCGTTAAGTCATTGCAAGCATCACAGATGCTTAAATAACAAATTCCCCTAGGATATAACACATAATTTGATTCACAAAAACTTGGTTTTCACATGGCACATCTGGTTTTCAGGAATACATTTGTGTAAATTGAGTTACCTCTATATTGTATTTGCATCTGAGGAACTGGAAAGACAAGACTCATTGCAAGTTAAATAAAAAGTGCCTAGGTCTTTCTTGATTTGCTTTCCAAGCTTCTGTGATAACATATGTAAACACTCTGTAAGTAATTAGATTCTAAATTCTTCTTTGCTATAATGATCCAGGTGGCATCCAAATAATTTTTTAAAAAAGCATTTTTCTCCATAAGGTTATGGTATATGATTTTTTTTCTTTTTTAATTAAACCTCTGCAAAGTGAATAATGTACCTGATTTAGAAGTTCAAATCTTTCCAGAACCCCTCAACTCAGCTAAGAAAGCTGGTCTAGCTGATTCAGGCGATTCTTTCACCTTATAAAATACTGTCCCCAATGAATCCTTTATAGCCACTCAGAGCCGACATACAGTCAATTATTAAGGTTTCCACCTGTATTGCTCAGTCTGCACTTTCCACCTTACCACTGCCCTTATTAATCTGCTCAGTAACCACTTTGCTATTTTTGATGCTGGGGTAGAGATTGTTCAGGTGTTTGCTTGGATTTTCTTTGTTTGCTTAACATTGCAGAAGAAAACAGAAATGGTAGCAGTAGGCTAATGTTTGGCTTAGCCACTTAGCCCAGATGTTGAAGAGAAGGTCGCTGGGGTATGTCCTGCATCATGAACCTCTTATTGAAAGTACTTTCTACTTCATTGATAAAATGACAGGATTTATTAACCAGAATTTATCTCTACTGGTTCTTTTATCACCGGCAGTAAGTTTACAGAACAGCCTCACTGTCCCAAATATTTGTTAAAGGCTTAAACAGTTTCAAATGTGTGCTCCTTTATTTAATTTACAGCTGTTTCTGAAAAGGCAGCATTCAGTGTTAGATGAAACAACTTATGCCTCCTGTCATATTTCACATTTTGTTTTATGCTTTAGTGGATTTCATGGCGATCTCTTTTCAACCAATAAAATTTGTTTCAGGGAAGAAGATACATTTTCTTTAAATAGTCAGACTACAGAAAGAGTCCTATCTCATGAAAACTTTTCACAGGACTATGTATCAACAGCAGGCCCTGCAGAGCTTTACAAATAGTTGGGCCTTTTAATTCTCATAGAGGTCAGTTTCATTTTCTCGTGGTCATATTCCACAAAAGCAACTGGAGTAGAATGGGAGGCATGCTTGACCTGGCCTCAGTTTACTTCAGTCTAAATCCTGACTCCCACTTGACAACTATAACTTTGAAAAAATCCCTTCATTTCTCTAAGCCCATCATCCTCATTTGTCAGGTGGGGTTAGTAACAGTTGTCCACAGGATTATTTTAACAAGCCAAAACAGTGCCCATGTAAAGTGCCTCACACTGACCTGGCCCAAAGTAAGCAACCAAGATATGCAATTAGAATCACCAGGGCATATGCAATTCATCTTACATGAGATTACATGAGTTAACAGTTTACAAGGAGTCCTCTCAAGTGAAGTGATATGGAGAACTCCAGGCATTTCTCCAGATGTTCCTGGCCATTTAAGATTTCCCTGATTTATACTGCTAACCCTTCATTCTACCTCCAATGCTTACCTCTCAGTAAGACAGATCTCGCAGTTCAACTTGTTAATTTTTATGTTTTTCTCCCCACTAAGGAATAACCCTGTGGATTCCCCACCAGAGTTGTGTTTTCTGTCTTTCTCCACCACTTCTTCCTCACTCAGTGCCAACAGAGCACAAGAGGCATGAGGCAATAACTTGATTTTAACTCAGAGATGAAAATATTTGGGACTGAGGTAAGGATGGCATTAATCTACTTACTTTTCCCAAGAGACTTTACTTGGAGGAACCTGTCTTTGGAATGCAAGGGAATCTCCTCCAAACATTCCCTGTAAGAACCCATTTGCTGCCAAGTTCAGGGTCTAAAAGGAACCCTCAGGTTTAGGGGCTAAATCACAGAGTAACACTGAGTCCTCCTCCTTTTAATCTACAGTCAAACCCTTCTTGGGCAGAAAGCACTTTGAAATAGAAAACAAGAGTCTTTAGTCTAATCTATACATACATAATACACAACCTCCCAAGCCAATGAGTGCCTGTGGGATGAGGAACAGACCAGTGGCAAGTCTCATCTAAATCATCTTGAATAACTCTTATGTTCTCTCCTTCTCACAATTCTTTGTTATCTAGCAGATGACTAAAACCCACAGTTAAAAAATATATTTGACATTGCAACCCACTATTTACATACGCATACACACACACACACACATATGCACAAACACACACAACTATCAAAAATGTAATGTAATGCAATAATTCTTACCCTTACTATATACAATGCACTTTATTTTCTACTCTATTACATTCTGCTTCATTTTTTAATGCTGGTCATGACCTATCAAACCAATTTTATGACTCACTAATGGGTCACAGTCTGTCATTTTACAAACACTGATCCAGGTATTTAATAAGGAGCTACTAGCCTAGAAAAGAAGTAAATGAAATTCATCTTTTAAAGTACATGGAAACCATACATTTTGTTAAAATTACACAGACTGTTCTGGGAAGATAGACCAGATGTACTTTAACTTATTTCTCCCACTAAATACAACTGCAATCCTGGAAACTGAAATATAACAAAAACATAACAAGACTCTAAAAGGTGAAGAGAAGAAGGCACACTGGATAGGGACCTCAAGGACCAAGGCACTCTGAGCTAGTGAGATCTCTGGGTTTTCTTTTTGCCTTCTATATGTCAGACCTGGAGCTGAAAAATCCAGAAACCTAGAAATGCCAATGACAGCAGAAAAAAATCAGTTCTCTAAAGGACTGAGAAAAAAAGAGAAAGCCTAACAAGGCAGAAAGCTTAGACAATAACCATTCTATATCAGACAAATACAACAATTAAAACTGTGCCTCACCCACTCCCATGCCAGCAAAGGCCAAGTGAAAAGCCTAGACAGGGGTTTAACAAGGCACCCTAAGCCCCACACCCAAGGCAGTAATGTCAGAGAAGGCTGAGTAAGGGGCTGGGACTTCCATTCCGGTTAGTTGGAATAAATTCCACCCACCCCTGTCCACAGCATCAATGGAGACACTGTAAGGAGTCTGGCTTCCACTTCCACCCAACAGTACCAAAAAACTCCCCTTCCCCACTGGTGAGGTGTCAGAGGAGGCCTACTGGAGAGTCAGGACTTTCACCACTTCCCAGTGGTAACAAGGCTACCCCCAATGTGGTGTCAGTCGAGGTCATGTGAGGAGCAGCAATGAAGAACTTCTATTTTTTATAGCTGGGGAGGTATTAGAGGAAAGACAGAACTGTACTCCTCCCCTGAGCTGAGCATTAACAGAGAGCCTCCCCTTCAGATGTCAATGGAGATCAAGTGGGTGTATTAGTCCATTTTCACACTGCTATAAAGAACTACTCTAGACTGTAATTTATAAAGAAAAGAGGTTGAATTGACTCATAGTTCTGCATGACTAGAGAGGCCTCAGGAAACTTACAATCATGGCAGAAGGTGAAGGGGAAGCAAGCATGTCTATGTGGTGGTAAGAAAGAGAGAGAGAGAAGGGGGAAGCACCACACACTTATCAAACAACCATATCTCATGAGAACTCCATCATGAGAATGGCAAGGGGGAAGTCCACCCCCTACGACTTAATCACCTCCCACCAGGCCACTCACCCAATTTGACATGGGGATTGCAATTCAACATGAGATTTGGGTGGGGACACAGAGCCAGACTGTATCAGTGGAGAATCTGAATTTCTACCCCACATGGCAGTAATGGGTTGGTGAATCCCCTTCCTCTTCCAGAGAGGTGTAATAGGAAACCAATTAAAGCTAACATTTAAATAGGATGTAGATCATCATAATACCAAAAAGGTCCAGATTTAACTCAAAAATAACTCATCATACCAAGAAATAGCAAGATTTCAAACTGAATGAAAAAAGAATAGATGCCATCGAGATGACAGAGATGTTATAATTATCAGACAAAGACTTTTAAAGCAGTCATCATCAAAATGTTTCAACTGTCAATTACAAATATGCTTGAGGCAAATGAAAAAAATAGAAATTTGAAACAAGAAATAGAAAGTCTCAGCAAATAAATAAAAGACACAAAGAAGAACAAAAATGGCTGGGTGCGGTGGCTCACGCCTGTAATCCCAGCACTTTGGGAGGCCGAGACGGGCAGATCACAAGGTCAGGAGATCAAGATCACCCTGGCTAACACGGTGAAACCCCATCTCCACTAAAAATACAAAAAAATTTGCCGGGCATGGTGGCAGGCGCCTGTAGTCCCAGCTACTCAGGAGGCTGAGGCAGGAGAATGGCGTGAACCCGGGAGGTGGAGCTTGCAGTGAGCCAAGATCACGCCACTGCACTCCAGCCTGGGCAACAGAGTAAGACTCCATCTCAAAAAAAAAAAAAAAGAACAAAAATGGAAATTTTAGAACTGTAACCAAATTTGAATTTCCAATAGCAGAAGAGATGAGACAGCTTTCCTCTATTCATTAGTAAATCAGAAGATAAAACGATAGAAGTTACATGATCTAAACAGAGAAAAACTAGACTGAAAAAAATAACAAAGACTCAGGGAACTGTGGACTATAACAAAATATCTCATATTCATGTGATTGCAGTCCAAGAAATAGAGGAAAAAGACTACAGGACTAAAAAATATACAGAGAATAACAGCTGAAATGTTGACAAATTATGCAAAAGGTATAAACCTGCAGATTAAAGAAGCTAAGTAATACACCATGACTTAGCTAAATCAAAAGTGTGATTTATCCAGGAATGAAAGAATGGTTCAACGTAAGTGAATCAATCAATGAAATATACCACATCAACAGAACAAAAGAGCTGGAAAGGCAGGGGAAATACATGATTATCTCAATAGATGTAGAAAAAAAATTTGACACAATCCAATACACTTTCATGATAAAAATACTAAAAAAATACTAGCTATTACCAAACAATGTGGGAATCACATTCTCCATCCTCATTTAGTCCAAGAGATCAACACAGAAAAAACATTTTGTTTTTATACACCAACAATAAATAATCCAAACAGGAAATCAATAAATCAATTCCATTACAATAGCATTCAAAATAATAAAATGCCTAGAAAGACTTTTACACTGAAAACTACAAAACATTGCTGAAGTAAATTAAATACCTACATAAATAGAAAGACATCTCATGTTCATATTGCTCAACACAATTTCTACCAAAATTTCAAAAGCTTTCTTACACAAATGGAAAAGCCATTCTTCAAATTCATATGGAATTGCAAGAGTCCCTGGATAGCCAAACACTCTTGGTCTTGAAAAAGAAACGTGTTAGAGTACTCACATTTCTCCATTTTAAAATTTACTACAAAACTATAGTAATCAAAACAATATGGTACTAGCATAAAGATACACATATACACCGTGAAGTAGAACACAGAGTCCAGAAATAAACCAGATGTATAAATTATTTATACATCTGTAAGTAATTTATTTTGAGAAGGGTGCCAAAACCATTTATTGGGGAAAGAATGGTCTCTTCAACAAATGGTGGTGGAACAAGTTGATTTCTATATGTCAAAGAATAAAGTTTCACCCCCACCTCACACCATATACAAAAATTAACTTGAAATGGATGAACAACCTAAATATAAGAGCTAAAGCCAGAAAATTCTTAGACAGAAACATGGGGATAAATCTTCATGACCTTGGATTTGGCATGACACTAAAAGTATGTACAACAAAAGAAAAAAATCAATAAATTGTTCTTCAACAAAATTTTTAAAATTGTAAACATCAAAGAATATTATGAGGAAAGCTTTTAAAAGTGTAACCTTTTACAGACTGGGAGAAAATATTGGTGAATCACATATCCAATAAAGGTTTAATATCCAGAATATATAAAGAACTTCTGCAACTCAACAGCAAAAAGACAAACAACTCAATTTTAAAATGGGCAAAGGGCTTGAATAGAGATTTCTCCAAAGTAGATATATAAATGGCCAATAAGCAAATAAAAAGATGTTCAACTTCATTAGTCATTAGGGAAACTCAAATCAAAACCACAATGATATACTAATTCACATCTACTAGGATGGCTATAATTTTTTAAAAGTGTTGGTGAGGTGGTGGTAAAATTGCAACCCTCATATATTGCCTGTGGGAATGTAAAGTGCTGTGGCCACTGCGCAAAACAGTTTGGTAGCTCCTAAATAGTTAAATATAGAATTATCATATGACTCAGCAATTCCACTCTTAGACATATACCGAAAAGAATTGAAAGCAGGGATTCAAATAGACATGTGAATACCAGTGTTCATAGCAACGTTATCCACAATAATCAAAAGTGTCCCAAGTGCTCATCAACAGATGAATGGATAAACAAAATGTGATATACACATAATACAATGAAACATTATTCAGCCAAAAAATGAATATATTATTGGTATATGCTACAAGACTGATGTGCTTTGAAAATGTTATGCTAAGTGAAGTGAAGTAAGCCAGACATAAAAGGACAAATACTGCATTATTTGATCTGTATGAAATATCCAGAGTAGACAAACTCATAGAGACAGAAGGTAAATTCCAGGATACCAGAGGCTGGGATAAGCGGGAAATGGGGAGTTATTGCTTAATGGGTACAGAGTTTCTGTTTAGGGTGATAACAAGTTTTGGAAATATTTAGTGGTGCTGGTTGTACAACATTGTGAATGTAGTGCATGCCACTGGACTGCACACTTTAAAAGGCTAAAATAGCAAATTTTATGTTATATACATTTTTACCACAATAAAAAGTATTTTTTTAAAAAAACTAATGGGTCATGCCAAAGAACAATAAAACTAACTTAAAGAGACTCCCACTGGCTTACATTGGGGCTAATTGATAATTAAAAAGAATAACAGCTATATTTAGCTGAAACACATCAAGCATACGAAAACCCATGACTTGAACCTGATACTCTTTAAAAATGACCACATTTAGGCATTTCTAGGGCAAAACTTATTACTCTGGATATGGTAAATAATGGAAAATAATTAAGCAATTATCCTGCTTTTTTCCCAGTAGAAACTATATGCAGAAAATCAGTGATTAATTACAACTGGTCCTTCTTTACATAATTCCAGTTAATAGATACAAAGGTAATAATTGGATTAGAAAATTTCCATTCTGCAGTCCCTAATGAGATAATGGATCATCAATTGATGTACAACCTATTAGGGTGAAAAATTAATGGAGACTATTATAAAAGGGGGGTCCATTTGATACCATTGATCAATCTTAGCATCACTAAAAATGGAACACCCACACATTATGTGTCTCATTATATGATCCAATAAGAAGTATACAGCACCATCTATGAATGATTTTTACCCTAAAAACTGAACTTGAATTTAATCAAACAGATTGGAAAAAAAGAACTGCTCCTATTTGTAGGTGATATAATTATCTTTATCGGAAATCCCAAGATATATACCAAAAAATATTTTAATTCCCAGAACCAGTAAGTGACTTAAGCAAGGTTACAAGATTTCTTACAGATAAACATACAAAATCGTTTCTCTATATGAGCAGTGAATATGTAGACACCAAAATTTTAAAAGTACTATTTACAATCATTCAAAAAAATCTAACAAAACATGTAGCAGATTTATACATTAAAAACTGCAAAATGCTGATAAAAGAAATGAAAGATCTAAATAAATGGAGATAACATATTATGTTCTTGAAATTAAAGACTTAACATAGTAAAAATGCCAATTCTTCCTAAATTGATATATAGGTTTAATGCAATTTCCATTAAAATCCAAGCAAAGTATTTTTTAGATATAGACAAGTTTATTGTACAATTTACATGGAAAAATAAAGGAACTAGAACAGTAAAAACAATTCAAATAAGAATAAAGTAGGAGGAATACTTCTACATGATTCTAAAACTTTGACTACAACTACAGTGATCAAGACTATGTGGCATTGGTGGGGGAATAGAAATATAGGCCACTGGAATAGAAGACCCAGATATATACTCACACGAATATGCCCAACTTATTTTTATAAAGGTGCAAAGGCAATTCAATGAAGGAGAGATAGCCTTTTTAACAAATGTTGCTGGATCAATTAGACACCCATTGGCCTAAACAAATAACAACAAAAAGAACTTTGATGCAGGTCTCACACTTTATACAAAATGTAACTCAAAATAGATCATAGACTGAAATGCAAAATGTAAAACTCCAAAGTTTTGAGAGTCTTTAGAAAACCACATAGGAACAGCTTCAGAATCTAGGGCTAGGAAAATCGTTCTTAGACTTGACACCAAAGCACAATATATAAAAGGAAAAATATCAAATTAAAAACTTGCCCTCTATAAAAGATGCTGTTAAGAGAATGAAAAGACAAGCTAAGCTACATGCTGGGAGAAAATATGTGCAAACCACATATCCAGTGAAAAACTAGTACCTAGAATATATAAGGCACTCTTGATTCAACAGTGAAAACAAAAGATTGCAATTAGATAATGGGCAAAAGACATAAAAAGACATTTCATTAAAGAGGAACTGTAGATGACAAATAAACATGTGAAAAGATGTTCAACATCCTTAGCCATTACAGAAATGCATACTAAAACCACAATGAGATCATTACACACATATCAGCATGACTAACATTAAAAATAGTGATAACACCGAAAGCTGATGAGAATGTGGAGAAACTGGATCACCCATATATTGCTGATTGTAATATAAAATGGTGTAACCATTCTGGAAAATGGTTTGACTTCCTCAGAAAACTAAGCATGCATCTACTATCCAACCCAGGAATTGCACTCCTGGACATTTATCCCAGAGAAACAAAAACTTATGTTCATATGAAAACCTACATAAATGTTTATAACAGTTTTATTTGCAATAACCCAAACTAGAAACAACCCAAATGTCTTTCAATAGGTGAATGGCTAAAGGAAGTGTGGTGATACATCCATCCCATGGAATGCTACTCAGCAATAAAAGAGAACAAGCCACTGGCAAATGCAATGACCTGTGTGAATCTTCAGAGAACTGTGCTGAGTGTTTGTCTATGTAACATCCTTGAAATGGAAATATTATAAAAATGGAAAAAGCAGATTAGTGGTTGCCAGGAATTCGGAAGGGAATGGGTGCAGGAGGTAGGTGGGATCCTTGTGTTGATGGAAATGTTCCATCTTGACTGTATCAATGTCAACACTAATTGTGCTAACGCACTCTAGTTTTGGAAAATGTTACTATTAAGGAAAACTGGGTAAAGGGTATAATAGATCTCCCTGCATTATTTCTCACAAGAGCATGTGAATTCATTTCAAAATACACTTGAGACCTGAATTCTTCAACTTCCATCCAAGGAACTTAGGCAATCACTTCACCTCCTTGGGCTTCAGTTTTCCTGCCTGTGGAGCAGAATGACAAAAGCTTACTCAAATGTTCACTTAATTTTGGTGTTATGTATAAATATAGAAAGTACAAAGAGATAAAAAAAATTTTACCAGTCTTTCTTAAGAGATTGTTTTGAAAAACACATGAGATAGAATATATGGAAGTACTATGAAAACCACAAAGCATCATCCCATCATTAGTTATTATTCTATTCTTTCAGGCAAAAAAAGAGGGATGTCTGAATATATCCTGAAAGATACAAAAGTGAAATAAAATAATGGGGTTAAATTGTCTTGTGTCATCCTGTGAGAAACTGGCTGAAAGAATAACACTTAATATGGCTTTATTGCCTCTTGTCTCTACCTTTGTACAACGTATAGCTTTCTGAGGTTGGAAAGAATCCCTTACACACCAAGGCTGTACGGTCTGGGAGTCTCCCATAGCCACAGAGTAGGGAGGAGAACCAGTACTATATATCACAAAAAGCAATCCCCCAAAAGCTAACCATATGAGTCAGTTCCATTCTTAAGACATACTCTGTTAAAAAATCCAAAATAATATATTATAGTTTGGGGATAAGACAGAGAAGAAATAACCGAATAAGAGCTGAGAATATCAAGTCATCCAATGAATACTGGCAACCTATGTGATAAGCCCTAGAATACCACCAAGAAAGCATTTTCGCAAGGCTAACCACAAAGCCAAAAAGAATACGAGACAGAGAAATAAAGGTAGAAAAGTAAAGGGAAAGGTAACTTAGAAACAGCAGTCTTGGAGAGTTATAGGTTCTCACTGAGATGTGGCATTTGGGGAAACGGATAATCCAACACCACCAGATAAGAAATTAATCTCCCACCCATTATAAAAACACACAGCAGCTGCCGCTGAGAGGTATATTTATAAACCCTTAATTTCAGAGATATGAAGCAGTCTTCTCTGTCAAAGGCAGAGAAGATAGGGGCTTCTATTTTCTAGGGTACCTGAAGTAAAAGAAGGAAGAGGAAACAGGCCTTAGGACACTTGAGAGGCAGAAATGATGGAAAAAGCCACTGACCATCATTGAAAAAGATACGAGGTCTTCCTGAGCCCAGGGCTTCACCATTTCTAGACAATCAAAGACAGGGCTTCATGCAAAACAAACAAAAACTAACAAGAAAACAAGAACTGGGGCAAACTGGTAGATAATTGGGCACAAAACAAATCTGTCTCGGTTGTGCACATTAATTATTTAAATAATATCCATGGTTCCTCACTTGCTGACATGTATAAGTAAAGACACGGCCAACCTAGTACACTTGCAGAACTTTCAGCACTTCAGAGAAGCACCTTACTAAAAGGAAATGCAATACTTTTCTAAGGATAAATTATGATTTTTCAGCAAAGGGCATAATTTAGCAAATGGTCCATTCTAGGACACAAGAGTATGTTCCAAACACCTGGAAAAGAGCCAGCGCAACTCACAGAGAAAAAAAAAAGTTTACCACCAGAGGGAGAATTGTTCTTAATTAAGTTTAGTTCAATTCAAATTCACATATTGCTAACACTTCACTGGAAACATATGAAAAAGAAATAACTTTAAAACTGTGCCTAAAATCAACAAGCTTATAATCAAGAACAAGCCAAAGAGCCCTATGTGCAGATAACAATTAATCTATAGATTTCAATTTCTAAAAGACGGTTCAGTGAGTAACAATATGTGTTTATATGTACATATATATTTACACAGAGCACTTGAAAATGGCATTTTCCTTTTTGATCCAAATCTATTCATTTAATAAACTCACAAAAAGCCCTGCTACATGGTCAATAGTGTGCTGAACATAGTTGCAAAGGTGACTATGGTATAGCCAAATATAAGACAGAAATGGATGATAAATAATTATAAAATAGTGAGCTATTTCGGGATGACAGTAACCACAAGACAGAGTTATTGAAGAAGATGGGTGATTAAATTGTCTGGCTGGTGGAGAAGGAGCAGTGGAAAATGGAGTGGTCATTGGAGGGTGGTAGTCAAAAGTCAATGGTCTCTCTCTAGTTGTGACATATAACTGGCTTAAAGTGGAAGGAGGAATTGGACAGTCAGGAACTCAGTAAATGATTTTTTCTGGAAAAAAATCCCAAATAAGGATTATATTTGTTTCTCTGGTATCGCCTGGCTATATTTGATTTACTTCCCTAAAATATAAGAGCAACATTTGACCAGCTTCCTTCATGGGGCTCTTTATACTGAGTTTGTTGACAGTCATGGTACTTTTTTCTCTGTGATTTTCTGCCTCCAGTTTTTCTTGACATAGTGTATATCTGAGAGTAATTGCAAGAAAATATGTAATCATCTTTATTCAGGCCATGATACATCTGATTTCTGGTCTTTTATCTGTTTCCTTTCAGTTTGGTACCAACCACAAATACCAGTGACTCTGAAGCAAACAAGGACTGTATGGAGACGGTTGTTGGACATGCTCTTCTTGCAAGGCCTAAACTTTCTTTCCTATTTCTGGCCTGAAATATGATTCTACCTCCATTTACTTTCTCTTGTTGTATTTCCCAAGACAACTAAGACAGGATACTAAAACTTGATTTTAAAGCAATCTTCATTACGCAATCTACAATGGAAATTTCATATTAGAAACCAGGGGAATTTATCTGTAGCCAGAAGGCCTTTTAGTTTAGAGTGAGGCAAGAGTAAAATCAGAGCCACTGGCTGAAAGTCCCAAGCCCACAATTTTCTCCTTTATTCACATTTTCCATTATGCACTTGGAGACATGCCCATGCACTGATGAACAATTGTATTCTGCATTTTGCATTCTGCTTTGTTTGTGGAGACCTGGAGAGATTTGTGGACTCTTGGATAAATTATGTGAGGGGATGTGACTATTCTTTACTGTTCTGGGTGATGAGAGTCGGAAGCCCATGGACATGCAGAGAAATTATTTTCAGAAAATGAGCAGTGGTGGCAGATCATGTGATGAACTCTGGGAACAGAAATAAATTATGGTCTGAAACAGCTTGGACATTCGTTATTCCTGATGGAGCTGTGCCCTCATTTGGGTTTGGAGATTGTTGTGATGTATGTACCTCTAGCAAAAAATTTCTCAACCCTTTGTTACAAAATGAACTCATGAGTTGAAGGTAAGGTACGAGCTACTGATCATCCTAAATTTGAGAAGTTGCTTTCCTTTCTCCTATTTACAGTGTGTTGGAAAAGGGTCCTGAAAATTAACCCCTTCATTAATACATTGAGCCATAGGAAACTCTGCTTTAGACTTGGTCACATGAATTTGAACGTTCTTCCTCTCAACTTAAAAAGCCAGTTAGACATAAAAATTTTTCCCAAGGATAATTTGAAGGGCTCTTATTTTAAAAGACACAGTAGGAACATCAGATCCCATTTTGCACTGCATAAAGCCATTAAAAATTGAGCATTTCAACTGGTATATTCTAAGATGGCCAAATAGGAACAGCTCCGGTCTACAGCTCCCAGCGTGAGCGACGCAGAAGACGGGTGATTTCTGCATTTCCATCTGAGGTACCGGGTTCATCTCACTAGGGAGTGCCAGACAGTGGGCGCAGGTCAGTGGGTGCACGCACCGTGAGCGAGCCGAAGCAGGGCGAGGCATTGCCTCACTTGGGAAGCGCAAGGGGTCAGGGAGTTCCCTTTCTGAGTCAAAGAAAGGGGTGACGGACGGCACCTGGAAAATCGGGTCACTCCCACCCGAATACTGCGCTTTTCCGACGGGCTTAAAAAACGGTGCACCACGAGATTATATCCCGCACCTGGCAAGGAGGGTCCTATGCCCACGGAGTCTCCCTGATTGCTAGCACAGCAGTCTGAGATCAAACTGCAAGGCGGCAGCGAGGCTGGGGGAGGGGCGCCCACCATTGCCCAGGCTCCCTGAGGTAAACAAAGCAGCCAGGAAGCTCGAACTGGGTGGAGCCCACCACAGCTCAAGGAGGCCTGCCTGCCTCTGTAGGCTCCACCTCTGGGGGCAGGGAACAGACAAACAAAAAGACAGCAGTAACCTCTGCAGACTTAAATGTCCCTGTCTGACAGCTTTGAAGAGAGCAGTGGTTCTCCCACCACGCAGCTGGAGATCTGAGAAAGGGCAGACTGCCTCCTCAAGTGGGTCCCTGACCCCTGAACCCCGAGCAGCCTAACTGGGAGGCACCCCCCAGCAGGGGCACACTGACACCTCACACGGCAGGGTACTCCAACAGACCTGCAGCTGAGGGTCCTCTCTGTTAGAAGGAAAACTAACAAACAGAAAGGACATCCACACCAAAAACCCATCTGTACATCACCATCATCAAAGACCAAAAGTAGATAAAACCACAAAGATGGGGAAAAAACAGAACAGAAAAACTGGAAACTCTAAAAAGCAGAGCGCCTCTCCTCCTCCAAAGGAACGCAGTTCCTCACCAGCAACGGAACAAAGCTGGATGGAGAATGACTTTGACAAGCTGAGAGAAGAAGGCTTCAGACGATCAAATTACTCTGAGCTATGGGAGGACATTCAAACCAAAGGCAAAGAAGTTGAAAACTTTGAAAAAAATTTAGAAGAATGTATAACTAGAATAACCAATACAGAGAAGTGCTTAAAGGAGGTGATGGAGCTGAAAACCAAGGCTCGAGAACTACGTGAAGAATGCAGAAGCCTCAGGAGCCCATGCGATCAACTGGAAGAAAGGGTATCAGCGATGGAAGATGAAATGAATGAAATGAAGCGAGAAGGGAAGTCTAGAGAAAAAAGAATAAAAAGAAATGAGCAAAGCCTCCAAGAAATATGGGACTATGTGAAAAGACCAAATCTACGTCTGATTGGTGTACCTGAAAGTGATGGGGAGAATGGAACCAAGTTGGAAAACACTCTGCAGGATATTATCCAAGAGAACTTCCCCAATCTAGCAAGGCAGGCCAACGTTCAGATTCAGGAAATACAGAGAACACCACAAAGATACTCCTCGAGAAGAGCAACTCCAAGACACATAATTGTCAGATTCACCAAAGTTGAAATGAAGGAAAAAATGTTAAGGGCAGCCAGAGAGAAAGGTCGGGTTACCCACAAAGGGAAGCCCATCAGACTAACAGCGGATCTCTCAGCAGAAACCCTACAAGCCAGAAGAGAGTGGGGGCCAATATTCAACATTCTTAAAGAAAAGAATTTTCAACCCAGAATTTCATATCCAGCCAAATTAAGCTTCATAAGTAAAGGAGAAATAAAATCCTTTACAGACAAGCAAATGCTGAGAGATTTTGTCACCACCAGGCCTGCCTTACAAGAGCTCCTGAAGGAAGCACTAAACATGGAAAGGAACAACCGGTACCAGCCACTGCAAAATCATGCCAAAATGTAAAGACCATCGAGGCTAGGAAGAAGCTGCATCAACTAATGAGCAAAATAACCAGCTAACATCATAATGACAGGATCAAATTCACACATAACAATATTAACTTTAAATGTAAATGGACTAAATGCTCCAATTAAAAGACACAGACTGGCAAATTGGATAAAGAGTCAAGATCCATCAGTGTGCTGTATTCAGGAAACCCATCTCACGTGCAGAGACACACATAGGCTCAAAATAAAAGGATGGAGGAAGATCTACCAAGCAAATGGAAAACAAAAAAAGGCAGGAGTTGCAATCCTTGTCTCTGATAAAACAGACTTTAAACCAACAAAGATCAAAAGAGACAAAGAAGGCCATTACATAATGCTAAAGGGATCAATTCAACAAGAAGAGCTAACTATCCTAAATATATATGCACCCAATACAGGAGCACCAAGATTCATAAAGCAAGTCCTGAGTGACCTACAAAGAGACTTAGATTCCCACACATTAATAATGGGAGACTTTAACACCCCACTGTCAACATTAGACAGATCAACGAGACAGAAAGTCAACAAGGATACCCAGGAATTGAACTCAGCTCTGCACCAAGTGGACCTAATAGACATCTACAGAACTCTCCATCCCAAATCAACAGAATATACATTTTTTTCAGCACCACACCACACCTATTCCAAAATTGACCACATACTGGGAAGTAAAGCTTTCCTCAGCAAATGTAAAAGAACAGAAATTATAACAAACTATGTCTCAGACCACAGTGCAATCAAACTAGAACTCAGGATTAAGAATCTCACTCAAAACCACTCAACTACATGGAAACTGAACAACCTGCTCCTGAATGACTACTGGGTACATAACGAAATGAAGGCAGAAATAAAGATGTTCTTTGAAACCAACGAGAACAAAGACACAACATACCAGAATCTCTGGGACGCATTCAAAGCAGTGTGTAGAGGGAAATTTATAGCACTAAATGCCCACAAGAGAAAGCAGGAAAGATCCAAAATTGACACCCTTACATCACAATTAAAAGAACTAGAAAAGCAAGAGCAAACACATTCAAAAGCTAGCAGAAGGCAAGAAATAACTAAAATCAGAGCAGAACTGAAGGAAATAGAGACACAAAAAACCCTTCAAAAAATTAATGAATCCAGGAGCTGGTTTTTTGAAAGGATCAACAAAATAGATAGACCGCTAGCAAGACTAATAAAGAAAAAAAGAGAGAAGAATCAAATAGACATAATAAAAAATGATAAAGGGGATATCACCACCGATCCCACAGAAATACAAACTACCATCAGGGAATACTACAAACACCTCTACGCAAATAAACCAGAAAATCTAGAAGAAATGGATAAATTCCTCGACACATACAGTCTCCCAAGACTAAACCAGGAAGAAGTTGAATCCCTGAATAGACCAATAACAGGATCTGAAATTGTGGCAATAATCAATAGCTTACCAACCAAAAAGAGTCCAGGACCAGATGGATTCACAGCCGAATTCTACCAGAGGTACAAGGAGGAACTGGTACCATGCCTTCTGAAACTATTCCAATCAATAGAAAAAGAGGGAATCCTCCCTAACTCATTTTATGAGGCCAGCATCATTCTGATACCAAAGCCTGGCAGAGACACAACAAAAAAAGAGAATTTTAGACCAATATCCTTGATGAACATTGATGCAAAAATCCTCAATAAAATACTGGCAAAACGAATCCAGCAGCACATCAAAAAGCTTATCCACCATGATCAAGTGGGCTTCATCCCTGGGATGCAAGGCTGGTTCAATATATGCAAATCAATAAATGTAATCCAGCATATAAACAGAGCCAAAGACAAAAACCACATGATTATCTCAATAGATGCAGAAAAAGCCTTTGACAAAATTCAACAACCCTTCATGCTAAAAACTCTCAATAAATTAGGTACTGATGGGACGTATTTCAAAATAATAAGAGCTATCTATGACAAACCCACAGCCAATATCATACTGAATGGGCAAAAACTGGAAGCATTCCTTTTGAAAACTGGCACAAGAGAGGGATGCCCTCTCTCACCACTCCTATTCAACATAGTGTTGGAAGTTCTGGCCAGGGCAATTAGGCAGGAGAAGGAAATAAAGGGTATTCAGTTAGGAAAAGAGGAAGTCAAATTGTCCCTGTTTGCATATGACATGATTGTATATCTAGAAAACCCCATTGTCTCAGCCCAAAATCTCCATAAGCTGATAAGCAACTTCAGCAAAGTCTCAGGATACAAAATCAATGTACAAAAATCACAAGCATTCTTATACACCAATAACAGACAAACAGAGAGCCAAATCATGAGTGAACTCCCATTCACAATTGCTTCAAAGAGAATAAAATACCTAGGAATCCAACTTACAAGGGATGTGAAGGACCTCTTCAAGGAGAACTACAAACCACTGCTCGATGAAATAAAAGAGGATACAAACAAATGGAAGAACATTCCATGCTCATGGGTAGGAAGAATCAATATTGTGAAAATGGCCATATTGCCCAAGGTAATTTATAGATTCAATGCCATCCCCATCAAGCTACCAGTGACTTTCTTCACACAATTGGAGAAAACTACTTTAAAGTTCATATGGAACCAAAAAAGAGCCCGCATCGCCAAGTCAATCCTAAGCCAAAAGAACAAAGCTGGAGGCATCACACTACCTGACTTCAAACTATACTACAAGGCTACAGTAACCAAAACAGCATGGTACTGGTACCAAAACAGAGATATAGATCAATGGAACAGAACAGAGCCCTCAGAAATAACGCCGCATATCTACAACTATCTGATCTTTGACAAACCTGAGAAAAACAAGCAATGGGGAAAGGATTCCCTATTTAATAAATGGTGCTGGGAAAACTGGCTAGCCATATGTAGAAAGCTGAAACTGGATCCCTTCCTTACACCTTATACAAAAATCAATTCAAGATGGATTAAAGACTTAAACGTTAGACCTAAAACCATAAAAACCCTAGAAGAAAACCTAGGCATTACCATTCAGGACATAGGCATGGGCAAGGACTTCATGTCTAAAACACCAAAAGCAATGGCAACAAAAGACAAAATTGACAAATGGGATCTAATTAAACTAAAGAGCTTCTGCACAGCAAAAGAAACTACCATCAGAGTGAACAGGCAACCTACAAAATGGGAGAAAATTTTCGCAACCTACTCATCTGACAAAGGGCTAATATCCAGAATCTACAATGAACTCAAACAAATTTACAAGAAAAAAACAAATAACCCCATCAAAAAGTGGGCGAAGGATATGAACAGACACTTCTCAAAAGAAGACATTTATGCAGCCAAAAAACACATGAAAAAATGCTCATCATCACTGGCCATCAGAGAAATGCAAATCAAAACCACAATGAGATACCATCTCACACCAGTTAGAATGGCAATCATTAAAAAGTCAGGAAACAACAGGTGCTGGAGAGGATGTGGAGAAATAGGAACACTTTTACACTGTTGGTGGGACTGTAAACTAGTTCAACCATTGTGGAAGTCAGTGTGGCGATTCCTCAGGGATCTAGAACTGGAAATACCATTTGACCCAGCCATCCCATTACTGGGTATATACCCAAAGGACTATAAATCATGCTGCTATAAAGACACATGCACACGTATGTTTATTGCGGTATTATTCACAATAGCAAAGACTTGGAACCAACCCAAATGTCCAACAATGATAGACTGGATTAAGAAAATGTGGCACATATACACCATGGAATACTATGTAGCCATAAAAATGATGAGTTCATGTCCTTTGTAGGGACATGGATGAAATTGGAAATCATCATTCTCAGTAAACTATCGCAAGAACAAAAAACCAAACACCGCATATTCTCACTCATAGGTGGGAATTGAACAATGAGATCACATGGACACAGGAAGGGGAATATCACACTCTGGGGACTGTTGTGGGGTGGGGGGTTGGGGGGGAGGGATAGCATCGGGAGATATACCTAATGCTAGATGACGAGTTAGTGGGTGCAGCGTACCAGCATGGCACATGTATACATATGTAACTAACCTGCACAATGTGCACATGTACCCTAAAACTTAAAGTATAATAAAAAAAAGAGAGAATAGTAAAAAAAAAAAAAAAAAAAAAAAAAAATTGAGCATTTCATTTAGGGCCACTGTAGATACATAATGAACAAATTAGAGTATGTCCTGTCTTGACTACATGATGAAAGTCTAGGTAATCCTCTCATGTTGACTTTTCATGAATTGTCCCTTCCATCTCAGGATAAGCTATTTAAAATAACCAAAACGGAAAGTCTCAGTTTGCTGGCATATAATAGCATCACTTTCTCCCTTCCTTTCCTGAGAAAAACTATCTCAAAGCACAGCACACTTAATTTTCATCATTTATGATCTCATTTCTGGCTTCATGCCTTTATGCCCAAGGACATTTGGGAATGTGTCAAGTGGCAGGTATAGCCACTTGAACTTTTGTACCCTTGAGCTTGATGGGGATGCCTCCCCAATGTCCATCTTCTGGATCCTTGGCCAAGGGTTCTGGCATGGTGAGATTTGACTGCCTTGCTCAAAAGAGGTCACCTAGTCCTGGATGTGCAGCTCATCTTCATATTAGGAGATGCCAAGAAGCTAATTCTGAAGCAAGAATTTAGCTTTAGCAAACAAGTTGATTTTATTTTTTGCTATTCTGCCAAAGCTATGATCCTGAGGCTCTGATGATGTTTTAAAGCCATGCATACTGGTCAGCAGAAAGACCACTATCAGCACCCAACTGCTGTCTCTAGTAGGGAAACCAGGACATTTTCTGTCTGTGGAATTTGTGTGGCTTGGGAGGCTTGCCTGACTATTTCCCCTGGAGATTCCAACTCTAATATATACCTTGTAAGGTTTTCCTTGGGAACTAAAAAGAACAGTATGTAAATTCTCTGCTAGGGCTGAGAAACCCTCAATAAATAGAAGATGACATGGGCCTCATACAAAAAAACAACCTTTGAGCTGGCCTGCTGACCCAGCCATATCTGAATGTGTGCTCTATGCAAGCTCCTCTCCCATATCTGTGTGCTCCCTCTTACCCAGTGGCACAGATGACCTGGGATGCCTGGGGCTGGTTTGTCAGTCAGCTCTACTGTAACCTCACAGAAGTCATTGATAACCAATGTTCAGGTACACAGGTGGTATCCATACCCTGTGCCCTTTTCATTTAATCAGTTTCTCTGTTATTTCCACAGAAAAGCAGATGTTAACCATAATTACAAAAATTATAAACTTGGGAACTTATGAAGTCTCCAACAGCACTGTCCCCTGTATGTGTTCCTGACTTCAGAGGTACTCAGAGACTGAACATCCCAATCCTATCCTCTTTCCTTAGGATCCCACACTTAGTCTTCTTCTGCCCTTTTAAAGTTCTCCTAGGTCTTTGCTACTCAAAATATGGTCCACGGATCAGGAATATCAGCATCACCTGAGAGCTTGCTAAAAATTCAAAAGCTCAGAGCTTCTAAACAAAAATCATCATTTTAACAAGATCCTCAGGAGATTTGTATGCAATTAAAATTCACAGAGTACTGCTCTAGGTGCCTGTCTTTCACAGAGTAAAGACTGGGTAACAGGTGTTAAATAATGATCATCATGATGATAATAAACAACTGTTATTACTACTACATCAATAATAATACAGGACTAATTGGGAGAGTACTACTTGAAAGGACCATGCTAAGGATTTTACACTCATTAGCTCCTTTAACCAATGCCTATTCAAGTGTCCCTTGGCCTCCCAGTGAATTTCAGGATCTCCCATCTCAGGGTGTTTCTTGTTCCATGATCTACATGGAAAGAGTCACCTTTGGGCATTAACTTACAGCAAATCCAGGCATCAGAGAAACCAGAAGCCTAGCAACACAGAGGGTTCACATAAATAGTAAGGAGGAGAGTGGCTGGAGCTGCCAAAAGTGGGCCAGACATGCCATGCTGTCAGCCAAGAAGAGACTCATAGGAATCAGAATTAAGGCAGCAGGGCCAGACAGAGAGGAGCACAGAGGAGGTTAGGCACTGGGAGCAAGTAAAGAACTGCTACTGAGGCAGCCTGTCCTAGGCTCACTGCCATTACTGCCCAAACCCTCTTGAGTTTGTCTAGAGAGAGCCCAGCTTTTGACTTGCAGGTAAAAGTAATAATGTCTGGAAATACACACACATGCACACACTCCAACCTGATTGAGTATGTGTTGGAAGAGTTGAGAGCAAGCAGGAAAGCAGTAGCTCATGGTGGCTGAGGTGGGAGTAGAACCTAGGTCTTCTAACTCCAAGTCCATGACTCACTCTCTACTCTTCCTCATCGTATCTGCACATATAAGATACCTTCTTATCTGTGTTTCTACATTTTACTTCCCCTCAACTTATGACAAAAGCCCCAGGAATAGCAGAACGCTGCAGGAGACCGTGGTTTGGCAGATGGCTGGGCCACAACAAATGAAGCTAAGGATGCTGGTTCAGTTCCCATAAGGGTCAGGCTGTGGTAGCCCAGGTCCACATATACGACCCCTTCTTCACTGTCCTGCATAGCAGGACAAGTCCTACCATGAGAGCCAGCAGTACAGTCTGCATATATGAAAGACCACAGCACTAGACCATGATCTCCTTGAAGTCAGGGAATGAATATTCTTTAAGCAGGGCCAGATACAGCGATTAACACATTACGGGAAATGGTGCCAGATGGTTAAAGAGAAGGAAAAACAAGCCATTTGTGGACAGAGCTGGTGTAAGGGTTAACTTTGCATTTTTTTAACTCAAGTCTCTTTTTACTGAAGTTTTTCCCACTGTTCAAATAAAGAAAATTGAAGGCCAAATAAATAGGACATTATTTATCCCCCCTTGAATGTTGAAAGATTTTTTCTACTGCTGTTAACAGCCACTAGCCTAATTGATATGAGTATGTCGTATATGTGTTTGACCCCCCAGCAATCCTGTAAGCTGATTATGGGGAGGGACAAGCTTGATCTTTGTTATATCCCATCATGTACAACACAATGTCTGAACAAAATATGTGCCCAGAAAATAACTATTTAATTGGAAATGACTTTGAATTTGAAGCCCTCTGACCAGCTTAAACTTGGAGGCTAGCTGTGATAAACTCCACTGTGTCTGCCTCCAGGCTACACCTCTTCTTAAGACATTGCTTCCTAGGCCATGGATATCTACTCATAGATTTGAATGGGTTTCAACAGGTCCTAAGCTCAGAACTGATGCTAGCAGCTGAAGCTATACTCATTTGGGCTGTCAATCACTATCTAATATGTTTAACCTAAGTGATGTATTGATCCTAGTTGCCTGCAAGTACACTTGAAAAGGGCTAAGTGACATTTCCAAGGAGAGACAAGATACTTTCAAGTCAGTTAGAAGCATCAGAAGATTCAGTGCACAAGGAGGAGCCCATCTTGAAGGAGCAGTCCTTGAGAATATGAATTGGATTAAGCCCCCTCTTATACACCAAATCCTTTAATAACCTCCAACACCTAAAAGATATGGGTGCCTGCCCCATCATACATGCCACAATCAAGGTGCCACATGGCTTTTTGTACCAGGCCTATAAAACACAAAGTAGTTGTAATTGTCAGAAGGACAAATACAGAAAATATTCACTCACTTGGAATCCCAGTCTCAGTACCTAAAATCTCAAATTTAGATTGTTGCTTTGACTTTATAAATAAAACATAATCCCTTCTGTTTGCAAAGTTCTCTGTACTTTTCAGAAACTTTAACCTCTGTTTTAATCCCAGTCATACCCACCATAACCCTATAAGAGAAACTGGACCATCATAACTATGCCCAGGTGAGAGATGAGGAAATTGGGGTTAAAAAAAGATTTTTGACTTAGTCAAATTCACACTATTAGGTAGTATCCAGTTTTCAACTATAATCAGATTACATCAGGGATCTTTCCATTAAATTTCACATGGCTTTTCTTCTGAATAAAAAAAAAATTTAAGCCTTTGGAAAGGCAAGATACTCCAGGGGATATTAGTTCTCTGTATGAAGAGTTTAAACAAATGACTGAGGGAAGGGAAAAATTCATTCATTGGATCTGCCTGTAGCTTGAGCTCCAGGTTTACAGTCAGGCAGGCAGAGTTCTGCTCTGGAAAGTCAGGAGAGACACCAGGATCCTGGATAACCAAGGACAAGCCACACCCCCAGGGACAGATTCAGGATTTACAAAGCCTGACACTTACATAATTTGGGAATTTCTCTTTTAGAAAAGAACACAAAATTACAAATTCAAAATTCAGCATAAAAGTGAATATTCATTTAGAATAAGAAAATAAATCACAATGAATTATACATTTTTTAAAGCTGACAAATATCACATATACCAAAATTTTTAAATCACCTAATACTTTTACTAATTGCCTGGTATATCCCTACATCACTTCTTTTTGCCTGCATTATCGAATGCATAATCACCTCTTCAGATGATAATGATTGTATAAGTTTCTGTAGAGAGACTAGAAAGACAATTTAGTCTTTAGCATAATCGGTAGTCTTTTTTTATTATTATAGATAATTTAGGAAGGTTTCAGCTTCACAACTTGTAATTAGTTATGTCATGTAAATTTTTAGGATTGTTGATAAATTTGGAATAACTTCTGTTTTTCTCATTTGTAAGCTATAAGATTTAAAAGAATTTTCCACAGACTAACTTCTAAACTCTGTACATTTCAAAACTTGTTTCTTCTCTACTAAGCACATAAATCCTGCACCAGCGTCACAGGACACCTTCCTATGGTGATATGACTTCCAGCCCTACACTGTGGGGGCTGGTGAGTTGGTACAGCAGGTGGCAGAATTATTCCTGGACGCTATTCCTATATGGAGGCAGCTGGTAATAACCAGGCATGGAAGTGATGGTGACCTAGATTTACCTATCTACTAAGCTCAAACCAAATAGATCTCACTCCAGCTTCCCCTTAGCTGCATTCCAAAATGCCCATAGACATTGTGATGTCTCCCCACTCAAGGGAAAGTAAGACAGAGGGGAACTTGGAGTTGAAAGAGATAGTGATCTTAACCATCTGTAGTAAAGACAACTTAATATCCAAAATGTATAATTATTTGAATATACTACTAGGTTCCTTCCCAGAGCCTTGGAAGGGGCCTGTGCTACTGAGGAGCTGCAAATAGCCCTTTTGCTCATTGGTGGCTTTGCCTATCAGTAAAATGAGGTTGCCAATAATTTCTACTCCTCTGGGGGATAGAAGGATTGATCTGGACTAGAGATGAGCTCACAGGAACTGAACATGGGTTCTAATGGGTTGATCCAGAATTTGTGACACCTGCCACACCCATCCTCAGCTCAGAGGTGGGACAAAACACAGGATCAGTTGAATACTGTGTGGGGTATAGAAAGCACTTTGACTTGTGTTTATTTGTTCCTTTAAGAAGCTCAAACACAAAACTACAAAATGATTGTTTGAATCCCTGGAGTCTGCTATAAAGCCAGCTTCACTCTGATACTGAAAGGCTGGTCAATTAATCCCACTGCACTCTGGTATCATGGTTTTCATGCCCCTTCCATGCCCAGGCCTTCATGCAGATCTGAACAATTGGCCCTTCCTGCCCTTCATCCAAGCCAGGCAGCCCAGCCCCGTTTTACTCCAACAAATCTCCTACAGCTTCAATAGCTGCCACTCATTCCTTCTTTAAGGGACTTAACAAAATTAACTCAATCTTCCTGGCATGGAATCCAGCTGCAGCAGGGCAGGTTTTATGGAGTGTGTAATCGCAAGATTCTGCGCCCATCATCACAGGGCTCAGCTTCCTGAGTGTGGCACACACCCCTCCCGCAGACCTGTTCATCTCAGTGTCGGCCATAGCCTTGCCATCCCTCTGCTGCTGCCACCGCCAGCACTGCCTTTCTGCTTGGATGGAGTGCTGGTCATTTTGTGCAAAGTGCAGAAGGGGGAGCAGTGTGGGGGGAAGAGAAACTGAAACAGGAAGGGAAGGCAGACCCAGAAAAAAGACAGAGGCAGAGAGAGGGAAAAGAGGAGAAAAAGTTAGAGGAAACTATACCAAGTCCCTAAGGAAATCAGATGGAGATGTTCTTTTAACTCAGCCAAAGGAAAGAGTGAGCTTGTGTTTTGAAGCCCGCAGGCTGTTGGCAAGAAAAATAAACCTCTCAACAGACCCTGAATCTGATGGTAGCAAGGAAGAATGGATGGAAAGAGTGAGGACCAGTGAGTGGAGGGATTTCAGGGGAAAGCCTGGGCTTTTCCCTACAGGGTACTAGAAGAATCTTTTGAATGCAAGTATTGTTTTACTCTGCAATATTATGCAACAACAGACTTCAGTTACTTATTTGTCCATGTAGATTGTGTATCTGTGAATTAAACTAGTATTTAAATCTACATAGAGATCAAATGAATGAATCCCGAGTGTATTTTGGGCCTGGAGAGGGAGGTCATAGAGGGACTTTATGACATGCCAGACCCAAGTGATTATTAGTGTCATCATCATCATCATTAATAACGTAACATCACTTTCATCATTATTAATATTTTAGATGAGAAAATCCTTCAGGAGTAGGCTTCCACTACTTCCAGCTTCCCTTCTCACCCTGTCTCCTACTTTAACAGACTCCAAGGCACAAAAGCACAGCATTTCTTCCAAGTAGGTCTCTCCTCTCTCTCTCACCAACTTTAAGTTTCTTCCATGTACATGATCATGTGAATTCTCATGGGGGGCAACGCAATTTAAAGTTGGAATTGCCTGAAAAACACCAGCACTGTTCGGGTACTCAGAAATGATATCCAGACCACATGCAAATGAACTCACAGCCCTCTTAACTAATTTGATCCACCTGGATGTGGCTCTTAGGAAAAACCTAATAGAGACACCTGCTATGAACACTGAAAGAATAGTCCCCTCGGTGGTTTTTCACCCCTTCTGTTTCTGCTACCAATTTTAACTAGGGGAAGTAATACGCTGGTGTAAAACAGTAACTAAGAGTTGGGAAGAAATAGTAACCATTGAACTTCATTCACACTGTCATTATTTTGTGCTGAGAAATTACCAGGAGGCATCAACCTGCCCATCAAACCTCATAATGCAAAACACATTATACATCCTATGACAAGTGACTTAAGGCAAATTAGTCAGAGGTACTAGTGTTTCCAGGCTCTGTCTTTTGTGACGAGTAGGGGGAGCCCAGTTTCTGCTGCCTGGGATGGCAGCAAGGAGTGCCAGCCTGAATTTCCCACATAGCTCCCAGCAGTCAGCAGAGGGGGGCAGGGAGAAGCAGTTGGACCAAGCTGGCTTCTTGTTTGGAACTTTCTCTGATCTTGAACTGAGTGACAGGTCTATGATGCTCCCACACTGCAGTAAGAGAAAGCAAATTATGTTCCTTTCTTCATCTGTTTGTCCTGCACTGCAGGGCTGCTGTCAGGATCTGCTGCACTAATTTCCCAGCTGGGCCCTTTCCTTGAAGTCCCCCTGACTATCTGGCTCCCACAGAGAAGTTGGTCTATTAGGCTTAAGATGACTCAAGGCCAGCCAGTCTCAAATTTCCCAAATATTCAAGGGCAGAAGGAGGAGCAGGGATGAGAAGGAAGAAAAGGTGTAGAGTGGTGGGGAAAACTTGATAGGTGGCTGGAAGAAGCCTTTGAAATGCTAATACAGTTACCCACACAGCAAACATGACCTCCTATGTGTACAGAATAAATATTTAAGGGACAGGGACCATTCCCAGAACTGAAAGTAGGAAAACATGTTGGAGTGTATCTAGCCATGAATGCACTGCCCTCAAATGCCCAGGCAGCAGTCTTAAGAGGATTCCACCTTGGGGGATTCATGGGGCTCATTTTTCTATCGCAATCTGTGGTCAGCATTCAGTTAGAAAAGCAGAGCCACTAGGAGATTTTGATAGGCAGATACATAGATAAGCAGGCTGACAGACAGATAGATGGACAGATGGATAGACTTAGTATACAGATTTGACTTTATGCAATTGTGCGACCTGGTCAAGCAGGCTCTGTATAGATGTTATGGCGCTTGAAGACCACAGGGCAGGCAGTCAGGAAGGTGGGGAAAGTAAGAACAAAGGAGAACCTACAGCCACGAGAACAGTCTGGAATGCCTGCCGTCTCTTGTTACCTGTAACCTTGGTGATATGGCTTTCTTGCAGTAATCAAATGGAGCCAAATGCACCTACCTAGCCTAAGAGTCAAGAGAAGCTGGAAAACAGAAGGTAGAGAAATTGCAAGCCCAATTGCTGCTTCATGCTGATGAGGTGAATCAGCAGATCATCAACAATGTGTGTGGGCTGCAAAATGGCTGCTGCCTCATGTTCACCCTCCAAATCTCACACAAGAGACTTACTTGTGGCTTACCCATATAGGAAACATACAGGGAAGGGAATTCTGGGACACATAGTTCACCTACCCAAGTTCACACATAACAAAGCCACCATGCTATCTAAAGCATCTCTTAGCAGTGATAAATTAGGTCAGCCACTGCCAGCCATCTGGGTGCCAGAGCATCATAAGCCGGAGCTCTAGACTTGCAGCACTAACCCACAATAGGACTGGAGGAAGAATACAAAAGCATATTTGGATGAGTTTGCAGAGCCACCCAAACCCTTGTTTAGGTGTGATGTCAAGGCCCAGTGATAGAGAGGGATGTCTGGCCTTACATAGCCTCCTCTCTTCTCCATTCTCAGCCCCAGGGCACTTGGGCCATATGAAGTGACCACATACTGCCATCTTTCCAACATTGCTGGCAGATGTTGCTGTCTCCTCCTAGACTGGAACTTGTTTAGTTTATCATTCAGCTCTAAATGTTGTACAGTGAGCTTCAATCCTGCTGAAGGAAGCATACAGGATGGCTCTCTTCATTCTCAGTGTTTACTTTGATAATGTGTTTCTTCTATGGCGATATCTCCCTGAATGTGTTGGGTCTCATCTGATAATGTAGTTCCTTGCAGGGACTTGCGATTAGCTGGGTTCTACCAGTGCTGTGAAAATGAAGGAAAATTGCCTGGGGTTGGATAAAGAGGAGCTAAATGTTATGGGCTCACATTGGCATGCACAGAGATTATTAAACTCCTCATTAACTGAACCAGGGCTTTGCCAGGCCCCTGGGCAGGTGGTATGGGGCTGTGAGCACGCAGATGCCTCACACAAGATGAGTGCATCTGAAAGGGGGCAATGATGTTCAAGGGGAAAAATGGCTAATTCCTGGCATTGCCCTTAGTGAGGCTGGACTCACAAATGCCTCCTTTTCCTGAGAGCCCCCTGGGAGCATCAGCTATTCCACCCTAGGGCGGTCTGTTTCCACACAACAGACATGCACCACAGGGCCGATGCTCAAACTAACTTACCAGATGGCATTGAGAAGTCACAGCTTCTGTTTTTCTTACCCTGACGAGGTTTCAGAAGGGTAGAAATGGAACACTTCTTCCAAGTGAAATAGTGTCTGTTCTGGTACTGTGGAGGCTTCAATCCAACTTGAGGGAGGGGAGGCTGCGGAGGCTCACATATGTGCATGTGCACGTGTCTGTGCCCCTGTGAACAAGAGCTGGGGCAGGGATGGATGGGAGAGGGTGTGATCCCCAACAATCTATTCTCCTCTGGTGTCCTTACAACCTCAAGTACTGAAAAATGAAAAACCCAGGTCACAAAACAGGCACAGAGCACAGTCACAACATGCATCAGATAAAAGCAAATCCAGTGTACAAGTACTTAACTCAAAATAAGTCTTCACAGCCTGGGATATCAAGAGTGTCCTCTTAATCAGGGACATCAGGGAAGTCAAGCAGCCAGAACAGAGATGGCCCTATGTTGGACTCTGCTCTTACTTATGTGATACCTTCTACTAGCAAACCACACTGTGCTGATGTAAATTATGAGTGGCTCTGCAAAACACTCCAGGGGAGCTGGTCAAGACTATCAGGGATGCTAAAGCAAAAAGTAAGCTGAGGCTAGTAGAGGCTAAAAAATCGGTGACCTGTGGCAGAGCAGTCAGTGAGAGGTTCAAGGGGCAGATGTTGCCCTGGAGTTGGGAGAACTGGCTTAGTCCCAGCTCTGCTACTTCCTGGCACAGAGCAGATCCTGAGCCTTGGTTTCCTCACCTGTGATATCAAAATAATATCTGTATCACAGGATTCTTTCCAAATAAATAAGAGATGAGGTACACATAAACACTTTATAACTGATAGTGAAAAAAATGAAGCCAAAATTTGAATCTTTCCAATTAATACTAATACTCTTCATTATGTTAATTATTTGATCCTTTGAATGCTCTATTTTGTACATGAGGAAATTTAATCTCAAGAAGTTTAGAAACCTATTTGAAGTCAACGCAGATAATAAATAGAATGGCTAAGATTTCAACTCAGGCTATTAAGCTCAAAGCCCACCTGGTCATCTTTATTCCATTCTTTCTGCCTCTCAATGTCATAATCAGCCACAGTCAGCCAAAAGTAGGCATTTGCCGTCTCACACTTCTGAGTTCAGGTCTTCTCAGATGTTTAACTTTGCAGAAATACAAGTAGATCACGTTTGACATTCACCCCTCAATGTTGTGGACGTTGTATTCTTGTTGCAGCTCACTTAGGCCTGGATTTCCAAACTTCTGACTACCCCATACTTTAACCTTCAGTTCTGGGCCCTGTATGTAACTCTAGGAAGAATGGGGCGGAGGGGTTGTTGTGTTTTAAAAACATTGTTAGAGATAGAGGTCTCACTATGTTGCCTAGGCTGGTCTCAAACTCTAGGCCTTAAGTGATCCTCCCACCTCAGTCTCTCAAGTAGCTGGGATTACAGATGTGAGCCACTATGCCCAGCAGGTTCTTAATTCTTTTCTTGGCTACCTTGTACCTCCTATATCACCTTTCAGGGCTAGTCTCTAGAAACAGTGGCCCCTTAACTCTTTCTGGAACTTAATCTTGCCTCTTAGGGTATCAAATATTCTGTTTCTTCCAATACCAGATAAATGCGTTATGGGTCTTGCAGCCTTTCTGTCTGGGCTAGCAAAAATAATTATAGTCTTTGCACTTAAGTTGACCCCACTACAAGAAATATTATTTCTTCATGTTGATAATCTATGTCCTTATGCACCAAGCTCAAGCCACTATGACGAAAGCTGATCCCTGCACTGGTCAGAACAGGAGAGGGATGTAGCCAGATTTTGGCATCATTAAACTGGTCAACCAGCTGCAAGACATTACCAGCTGCCATGTTAATCATTAATGAGGCAGACAGTGCCTGTTGCCTGTGTAGTGAACCAAACATTATGACTTGGGTTTTCATTTCATTTAAAATTAACTCACTGAATGAAGAATCAGCCTCTAGCTTGTGAGAGACAGAGCAGTTGGCACAAAGAGGGGACTGGCAGTCCAGAAGCACAAAGGGAACATAAAGTCCCTCACTGATATGATCCAACTGTTTGTATGCAGGCCGTGACTTTTAATTCAACTCCACGTCTGTGTTCCCAAGCAGAGTCTGTGTGGCACCACTCCTTCCTGCTGTAGCATGTGCTAATGCCTCTCCAAATTACCCCAGCTATGTCTTGAAATCTCAGAAAAATGAAAATATAGTCCTACTTTTTATACGTGCGTTGTATTTTCTTATTCAAGAAAGGCAAATGCAACTTTTAACCTTTACTATGTTTATATAAAAATTAATAAAAAGTTTTATTATGTTTCAGGTATAGAGAATAATATAATGAAATGAACCTGATGAACCCACCATTTTCCTTCAGGCATCGTCAACATTTTACCAATCTTGTTTCATCTATCTCCTCAAATGCATTGTTTGTTTTGTTTTTCCCAGAATATTTTAAAGCAAAACCAAGACATTATGCCATTCTTCCCCCAAATTTTCTTGTAGTATTCTCTAATTGATAATTACATTACCAATACTTTATTTATCTATGCATATATAACCCCTACACCATTATTAAACCTAACAAAAATTAACAGGTGTTTATTAATACCCCAAATAATAAAAACATATTCAAATTTCCTTGATTGTCTCAAACATGTCAGTTTACAATTGGTTGTTCTATTCAGGATCTAAGTAAGATTTACACATTGCATTCATTGCATTTGGTTGCTGGGTTTTATAACACTTCTCCCTTCCTTTCCCCACTTCTACCTTATCTCTCAGGCCAGTTAGTAAAAGTGGGTCATTTGTTCTCTCAAATATTCTATATTCTGAATTTGGCTGATTTTTCCCTTATAGTGGTATTTAATGGGTTCTTCCATCCTCCACATTTCTTTTAAACTGAAAGTTAATGCTGGTGGAATCTGGATTTGACTTGTAACTTGCTTTAAACAATACAACGCATCAGAAATTATGTTCTAGAACTTATGAGTTCACATCTTAAGAGGAGTTGCAGCTTCCATTTCTTCCCTCTTGGAAGCTAGGCAACATATATCAAAAACCAAACTATCCTAAGACTATCATTTTCTGAGAAGAGTAAAGTTAGAAACTGGAAAGTCCCCACAGAATGAATGAAAAGTGATTGGTCAGCCCCCAACTCTTCTGGCAAACTGAACTAATGAAAGCACTACAATTTTGAGCACCAAAAAAATGAGTAAAGAAGGCATCTTGGCTATTTGAGACCCAGCATACAGCACATGGAGCAGAACTGTCCACCTGAACCCAGCTCAGATAGCAGAATAATAAGAAAAAAATTGAATTTTTTTTCTTTAAAATCCCTCTTTGTGGCATCTCATTATGCAGCAATGGGTAAATGAAACACTGGTTGAAGGAACTCTTCATTTCTCTTATTTCTTTTTTATTTCTATCATGCTCACTTGGTTCTTTTTTATAGATTCCATTTCTCCTTGACATTCTCCATGTATTCATGAATTTTGTTTATCTTTTGTACTATATCCTTTAAAATATTTATCATAGTCATTTTAAATTTTTTTGGCAGATAATTTAAACATTTTGGCCATCTGAGGGCCCATTTCTATAAACTCTTTTATTCTTGATTGCATGTCACATGTTCTTGCTTCTTTACATATAATTGTTTACTATGCCAGACACTGTGTGTGAAAAAGAGGGGGATATTTAAAAGTAAATACTTCCCAAATATCATGCATATTTTCCCCGTCAAGCCACTAAGGGGCTGTTTCCATCTAATCTATATTGAGGTGGGTATTGTTGCAGCTTTAACTAGATTTAGATTACTATTGGACTTAGATATTTTGCAGACAGAATTAGAGCTATTTCTTTAAAATAACTTGGGGTCTGAGCACCAGGGAGACTCGGGATCTTTTTGTGCTTTGCATCACTGTCACCAACGTCCTGAACCATAAGAGAGCTCTTCTCTACAGCCTGACCACCAGATTTCAGATCATGGAGGAGTTATCTTTTCTCTCTAACCCCACTTGTAATTTTCTGTACCTCAAGAGATTTCTCTTCACCCTGCCATCCTGTCTCCAGTTTTTAAAAAGATGCAGCAATGGATTCAGTAAAGACCTAATGTGCCTAGGAGGGATTTTGCTTTACCTTTACTGCTCTTCCTCCAGCCTTCAGAGAGCATCATCAGTGCATTTGGAGAAGAACCAGTGTGCGTTAGAGAGATTTCTATAAATTCTTCTGTCCTGATGCTAGCCTTCAATGAAATATTGCCTTATACCCAGGGAAGGTACTATGCATCTAGTTGGGGCATTTGTTCAGCTCACCTGCTCTCTCCCAGCCTTTATTAGGCCACTATATTGCACTTGAAGAAGGTTCCTGCTTTTCATTTAGGGAAAACCATATGCTTCTTGGGGTAATTTCTCCCCACTTTCTTGCTCTGTCCTCACCTTTGACATCCTCTCCCTGTGTATGTAGTAAAAACCCAAGATGGAATCCACAGGTGATACTGATATGTTCTGTAACTAAGGATACCATCACACAAGCCCCATGTGATGATTAAAATTCATGGAAAGTTAGCTCAGTTTCCCATTATTCCTGTTTACAATAAATTCCTCCCTTTCCCACCATTGTTCCAGTGATAAACACAGCCAAATCCTTCTTTTTTTAAATATAGCTCACTTAGGTTTCTTTGCATCTCCAGCTCTCTGATGGGTTTTTTTAATTATGATTTTTTTTTTTTTTTTCTGAGAGGGAGTCTCGCACTGTCGGCCAGGCTGGAGTGCAGTGGCATGATCTCGGCTCACTGCAAGCTCTGCCTCCCAGGTTCATGCCATTCTTCTGCCTCAGCCTCCTGAGTAGCTGGGACTACAGGCACCCGCCACCACGCCCGGCTAATTTTTTATATTTTTAGTAGAGATGGGGTTTCACCGTGTTAGCCAGGATGATCTCGATCTCCTGACCTCATGATCCGCCCACCTTGGCCTCCCAAAGTGCTGGGATTACAGGCATGAGCCATCGCACCCAGCCTAATTATTATTTTTTTTTACATCTTGCCCATTTTGTTCTTGTTGCTAAGGTAGTAATTAAAAAAGGAAACTGCATCAGGAAGTGATATTTTCAGTTTGCTATTGACTTAGTGAGTTTTTCCTCTATGAACCTCAGTTTCTCCATTTGTAAAACAGCTGCCACATACCACTCAGAAGAGTGTAAAGATTAAATAGTACACAGTAGTAAAAGACTTCAAGAGGAGGAAGAAGTTCAAATGCCTGTTTTAATCTGGACACAACCCACCTGTCTGCTTTATCTCCCTCATTCTCTCTACTCTCTGGCTCCAATTTTCATTTGGTCAGTTCCTCAAGGGTGTCATGTTCTCTAGTCTTTGAACATGCTGCTCCCTTTACCAGGAACACCTACTTCTTTTTCCTTCTCTTTGCCTTGCAAATTCCTATATAATATTTCTTCCAGGAAACCTTTCCTGACCTCCACGCCTCTAGTTAAGTGCTTCCCCATCATAGTGTCAGAAGCAGTTGAACCAAAGTAACTCCATTTTTGAGTGGGGGCTGAGAAAATGAGGCTGAGACTTGCTGGGCTGCATTTGCAGAAGCATAGGCATTCCTAGCTTCTAGATGTTTACAGTTAGGGGAACAAATTAATAATGTTTACTAAACACACCCAGACTTGTGAGTGTCCAGATATCCCAATACCTGGAGAACAGAGGCATTCCTAATTTTGCTTTAAAGATAATAATATCGATTCTTGCAAAATATAGTAATTAAGAAAATTAATCCTTTATCACAAACCCTTATAGCAGAGCACAACTCCCCATATATACAAGCATTGTACCTAGGGTGGATGTGTTCCTCCTCTTACTTTCGGAACGTCCTACTCTGTGGAGTAGCTGTTCTTTCACCACTTTACTTTCTTAATAAACTTACTTTTACTTTGCATGGCAGACCTGCCCTGAATTCTTTCTTGCATGAGATCCAAGAACCCTCTCTTGGGGTCTGGATTGGGACCCCTTTCCTGTAACATATTTCTGGCAAGTACTAAGGGTCTATAGCACAGAAACCCACTGGACTATAAATTCTCTGAAAGCAGGAACTATTCATGTCTTTTGAGATGCTGCATCACAGCATATAACAGAATCTATAGAGAGGTGACATAAGAATTTTTTCATAAATACATGACTACATGAGTGAATTACTCTAAATTCTTCATTATTTCTTCATTTAGAAAATATTATCATACATCTGTTAGGTATATAGCATGATACTAGGTGCTCTTGAAACAACAATGCGTATCTATTATATACAGCTCCCATCCTCAAGGAACTAAAGTCTAGCTGGAAAGAAGAGAGAAACATGTAAGAAAAGCTAAATAGCACTGCAAACATTCAATAAAAATAAGATGGCCATAAAAAAGAGAAAATAATTTCAATCAAGAAAGATAGCATCGGCTATTTTAACAGTACTAATGTTACTGATAGGATAAAGGACATAAAATGTGAGAATAAGTCTTTCTGTCTGGCAATTAACAGTGAACTCTGAGAGAGAAACTTTAGAATTTGGTGACAACAGAAGCCAGATTGCAGGGTATTCGAAGTGAAATAGTAGTGAGGAAGCCCAGGATATGGAGTCCGTGGGTGGAGTCCACATATTCAAGAAGTTTGGCAAGGAGAAAACAGAGGGCCATTCTTTTGGAGACAATAGATCAAGCTGATTTAAAAGCAGATGGGAAGAATCCCACAGAGAGGGAGAGAGATTCAAAATGGCCAGAAAAAGCAGAACATCTTTCATTATCTTGAAAGAGGAGACAGGAACCAACTCTAACTATTGGGTCCAGGAGTAAGTTTCAGGAAGGATAACTACTCTAAGATAGAGAAGAATGAAGGCAGAAACTTTGAAGGAGCAGACAGTGAACCAAAAACTTCCAGGTGACTTCCACAGGCTCAGAAAAGCACAAAGCAAGACCATTTGCTGAGAGGTCAAGAGGACTGCTAAGGTAAAAACAACAACAACAACAACAAAAACTGAAGGAGAGTGGAGAAGCTTTAGAGGAAGTGTCCTTGCTTGGAACATGGTCTATGTCAGATGACTTTGTGTTCTGAGTAGATATATGAGGGGCACCTGATATAAAATCTTCCACTGTGATGCAGCTGGTTTCTCCCAGGCAGGCTGATGAAGAACACTTACAGTGAAGGCACAGGCATGTTCAAGTGCATCTGAGGATAGCATAGTGGGAGAAAGAAGGAAAAATGAAACCCAGGGGAGTGTTGAGTCAGATTTTGGGGGACATGAGAGAAATGCTGAGCACTCAATCAAAAAGGCAGAGACCAGGATGAGCAGTGAAGCCTGGAACAGAAGCTAAGGAGCAAACACAAAATGGAGACAGGTATCAGTGGTCTAACTCAGTGCAGTTCACTGGGCACTGCACATCATCCAACCCTGTTTCGTTATATTCTTACTGAGCTGTTCACAATTGCAGCCAGTTTTTTCCCACAGCATTTTAAGATATGGCTGGCTTTTGGCATCAATAGACAAGTAGGTGTCATCTTAGAATTGTGTAACAGCCAGCGGAGCTCAAAGTCAATGTGAGGACTCTAACACAAGACAGGTTTCCAGTCCTGAAGAGGTGTTACCAAACCAGGACTGGTACAGCGGGAACAAGTCAAAATCTTACACCAGAGCTGAGGTTCAGCCTAAAGAGTAGTTCTTGAGGAAAAAATAGAGTAGGCCATTTATTAGGACAGACAGGTATCTGGGACTTAAGAATATGACAAATCTTGAGCCTCTGTTCTAGTTAGTCACAGAGGTCAGATTACATTAACTGCTTCTACCACATCAGCATGAGCTCTGGAAATTCCAAAAGGACTGAACCAGCAACAACAACATCCAGGCTCAAGGCAAGATCCAGATAGATTTGGATGAGGAATCCCAGGGCAGTTGGTTGGCCAGAGTGAAGCCACATAAGACTCCTGAACCGGGCCTAGAATCAAATCCAGGAGGAGTGAAGCTAATCAAAACAGCAAATAGAAGTGAAGACTGCTAACCAGTAGGTTGATACCAACACATTTCTGCAAAGCAGGCATAGGCTATGACAGTGAGAGAAAGGAAAAGCAGCAAGTTTTAAAAATTGAAAGAGTGAGTGGGAGTAGAAAGGGAGGTAAATGCATTGACATGGTCAAGGGTCTGTAACATAGAAGCAGGCTGTAAGGATGTCTCAGGGGGAATTGGGGAATAAGTCAGGGGAGGTGTGCTCACGGAGAGCCAGAACAGCATGCTTTAAGTAAGATGGGATCATTGTTATCATCCATAGGCATTCTCTTGACCAATTCTCAAGGTCTATGCCCAGCCTAGGGAGCCAGGAAGGCCTCGATAGGGGAGGATGGTGTAGAGATCAAAAGGAACAAAAGACTTGGCACAAGGAAAAATTACACAAACTGATGGGGTGATCCAGAGGTAACAATTAAAATGTGCATTAGAAAATTGCCAATTTTTTGCTGTCAAGTATCTATCCTCTTTCCTCATGAAGAAATACCCTTCCACCTGTGTGATGTGGTCTTGGGCATGGGTGATTCCAAGTACCTCCCTTCTATTACCATCTTCCATCACAGAAGCTGACAGGAGCCAGATCCTTGTTCCTCCCATACCTTGCCATCCTAGAAAATGGGCATTGGGCCCTAAGCTAAGCCACTCAGATTCCAGGGCTTTGAATACTGAACACATAGAACAAGGATGTGGGAACTGGTGGAGGCTGCAGTGGGAATAAGAGAACCCTTGGTTCCTTCTGATTTTCTAAGCCTGGGTCTGATATTCTCATTGATTCTCTGAGCTCTTCAGATCCTTCTAGTGTATGCCCTTTCTGCTTAAAATTGTCAGAGACAGTTTCTATTGCTTGCAATCAAAATCTCTGACTGATGCACATTGCATGACAGACAGTCAGAGGATGAGAGCAAATTTAGGGTGTCCACAAGGGCAATATTCAACCGACTTTAAAATAGAGATCAGACTAAAAGTCAAGAACACAGAGAAAGATGTTATTTGTAGGGGCGAAATGGGGAGACAAAACTTAGAAAGTTGTGGGCATCAATAGGTGTAGGAGAGAGGAAGACAACACATACATTGGCAGTGGTTTTGAAAAGGATAAGGGGTTTCTAGCCACCCAGAGCTTACTATCTAGCAGACAAAAGGCCGCTGCATAAACAATCACCCTCAAATATGATAAATGCTATACTTAAGAATATGAGCTTTGCAGTCAAATTATTACATTCAAATC
This sequence comes from Homo sapiens, assembly GCF_000001405.40. Taxonomy (NCBI): domain Eukaryota; kingdom Metazoa; phylum Chordata; class Mammalia; order Primates; family Hominidae; genus Homo; species Homo sapiens. Next base: position 177,658,481 of record NC_000001.11, read on the forward strand.
CCAACCTTTATGAGTTACATAAATTTTCTGCACCTAAGTTCCCTTAATTTTGAAATAAGATAATAATTTATACATGGAAAACGATTACAATAGTGCAGAAAAACTAATACATACTAAAAAAAGTTAGTTCTTTTTATAGAGAGTAGAGCATGTTCTGGGGAAGCATAAAGCCATTCACTTAACCTGGTCTTAGAATAGGGGCAGAAGTGGTTGGAAAAAAAAGTGATATTTAAGTTGAGACCTGAAAGATGAGTAATCACAACAATAAAAATAGTAATAATTATTCATATTTATTGAGATATTTTCATGTGCTAGGAATATTATCTCCCTTATTCCTCACAAGAGCCCTGTGAGGTAGACACCAAAATTATCTCTATTTTATAGATGGAAGAACCCGAGGCTCAGAAAAGTTAAGTTCCTAGGCCAAAATCACTGCTAACTGGGCAGTAGGTAAAAGAGGGGTGGTAGAGAGGCAGATGGATCAGCATATTTGAGACCCCTTAAAATAAATTTCTGATCTGGAGTTACAGGAAATCTCTCATTGCCCAGACCCTGCCTTATTGAAGGTTATTTTTCTGACTATACACACCGTCAGTTTTATAACATAAGACATGCAGAGGACACAACTCATTCGATGAAATTTTGTTTTCCACTCCACTTTTCAAAAGCTTGTATTTTTCATAATTGAAGAGTAACTGCTATAGTTATTGATCATGATAAAATTAACATATTTTTCTCAATTAGATTCATATCAGAGCACCTCTCAAAGCTGGCTCTCAAAGAATCTGCTCACTTTACACCTGCCTCTGAAGGGAATAAGGAAAAAACATGCTACATGCCCTCCCTTCTGTTCAAAGAGAAGCCACATTTGTCCCGCACACTAATCAAAGAAATGTGCTACCATCTTGCCCAATTTGAGCCCTGACTTCATTACTAAAATGTGGTGTCTGCTGAGGTAACTGACTGGGGCAGCTGTTCAACATATGCCTAGCAACACTGAATAGCCCCGTTAGTCCAGCGAGTGAGGGATGCTTTATCCCTTCGAAGCTGAAGGGGAAATTGTAAGTAAGCATAAAGTAATTACCCACTTGGAACCTGTCCAGGCTATGTTCAATGCAATTGAAAGCTTCTGTCCTTGATGCCAACCTTCCCCAGCCTAGGGAGGTCAGAGAACTTGGAATATTTTCACCACTCTATGCTTCAGAGACCTGATCTGCTTTGAAGATCTGTCTGAAATTCACTGAGGTCACCAAGGGGAGGGATTACCACCTTCCCAGCCAAAGAACATCCCATCTCATGAGAGCTAATATCATTTCAAATGCTCTTTGGTTCATGTTAGATATTGCTGCTTTCTTTCTTCCTGCATGTAAAGGTGTACAGAGTGTCTTCCATAGATATTATCCCATTTGAACGGCACAACAACCATGCCAGGGAAACAGAATATGCATTACTACTCCCAGTTCATAGACAATGAAACTTGATGTTAGAGAGAATAATTGATTGGATGGGGATGGAGTTGCAGTTTCTGAGTCCTGTCATCTAGACAGTTGGTGTCCTTTCATCTTCCCCCACTTTACCTCTAATTCCAGGATTCCCAACCAATCCTCATTTGAGACATCCCAGTTCTCTTTCAATTCCCTTAAATGTCTTCAGGAAATTGTTGAAAAGGTTATTTTCAAGGCAAAAGTCACATGAAGTAAGGTTTTTAAAGATATAAATTTAGGCTTCTGAGTTTTATGGAGATGATGACCTAGAATCTGTTGACCCTTTCATGAAATTTAAGAATATAAGAAGCAGAAGGGAAATATGCATTTCTAAAGCTAACAGAAAGCATGTAAATCTCTTGGGGGAAACTGAAACCTGTCAATGCAGATGCATGCTGGAATGAGGAGCTGCTGAATGCAGGTGCACCTGACTAGGAACTCTTGGAAGGCCACCACGAAAGCGTATGGTCATGCGGCGTACATTAGGAAAGGCACCCTGTCTCCAGGTAGGTGAAGCCTCACACCAGGGTGCACAGCTTGGGAATGGAGGTGAATGGCAGTGCCTGTAACCCGTTCCTCTCACTCATGAGTAGAGACAATCTGCACAGTTATGAGTGGTGGGCCTGGTCCTTCAGTATCCTGACCCCTACTCACTCCTCCTCCAAATTCCCACTCCTGGGGGAATTACAATGTGTGAAGACTGCCTCATCCTAGTGCTCTTTCTCCCCAATAATTTAATTTAAAGGAGAAACCCTTACCAGAGGAGTTGCCCAGGGGAGAGGCAGTAAAAAGGGATGATACAAAGTGTTTTTATGTTGCCTTTGTCTCTATGCTCTGGGGCTCAATCCTTCTCATTTTTTTAAATACCTAAATAAATACAGACTAGAATCTGAAATTTGGCCTTTCCCAGCAAACATTACCAGACAGAGTAGTGGATACCCACAAAAGAACATGAGCTTACAAGCCCAAATAAAACTAGGGTCTAGTAAAGGAAGACAAAAACAGAGTATCATATACCATCTGAAGCAGAACCATTTGAACAAATAAAATGAAAAAGGAATATGACATTAGTATGGTAACTATGCTTAAGGAGATGTGGGAAGATACTAGTAAAATAAAGCGAGAATAAGAAATCTTAGAAAGAACTAAGTGAAATATTAGATGCCAAAAATGTAGAGTTGAAATAAAGAACACAATACATGGGATAAATAACAGGATGGAATAGAGCTAAAGAAGGATTTAGTGAATTGGAAGATCAGAATAAGAAACTCTTCCTAAAAGTAGCTAGAAAGAATACAGAGACAGAAAGCATAATTAGAGAAAAATTTACAAGATAAGAGATTTGGAGGATAAAAGTAGAAGGACTGGCGTCCAGCTAAAAGGATCTCTGAAGGAATGGGATGGAGAGGAGAAAATATTTAAAGAAATAACGAAGATAAATATTCCAGAATTAATGAATGATAGACTATTTTAGAATGAAAAGTCTCTTAAAGGACCAAGTAGGGGAGATAAGGAAAACTCCACACTAATTAACATTATAATAAAATTTTTAAATATTAAAGCAAAGAAAAAATACTTAAAAAGCAGGAATACAGTCCATTTAGAGGGGAAAAGAGTTCCCCATAAAGTAATAAGAGTGAGGCTATCACTAGACTATTCAAGAACATTGAAAGCAAGATGATAATGGAAAAACTTTTTAAAGATAATGGAGTATAATTTTAAAATACTGAAGGAAAAATTATTTCAAACCTAGAATTTGATTTTCAAATATGAGGACATAATAAAAACATGTTTAACTAAACAAGATGTCAAGAAGTTTAACATGCAAAATCTACACTAAAAACACTCTTGAAGGATACATTCAAGTAAGAGATAAAAAGCAGAGGTGCTGCAAGAGATAGGTAAAATTAAAGGAGTTGCACATCTCGGGAGAGTTTATTGTTCATTGTTCAAGCCGGTTCCTTGAACAGATTAGCAAGAGAAAGAGAACTCTGGCAAAACTAATCATAGAAAACATACAAATAAATAAAATATACAGGGGAAAAACAAATTATGAAATCAACAAAGATTCAAAAGAAAATACTGTGAATGACTGCATACTAATAACTTTGAGACCTAGAAGACCTAAGAATAGAAAACATAAAGTGCCAAAATGTGAAGAAATTGAGAACATAAATAGCCAGCAGAAACTTTTAAAAAGAAAAATCTGAGTTAAAGATCTCCCATTCAAAAAAAGTTATAACCCTCATATTCAGATTGTTTTAGAGATGAATTCTGCCAGGTTCCAAGGATTAGCTATTTCCTAAACTATATAAATTTTTCAAGAGACTAGAAAACAAGAACCACCAGGTTAATTTCCTGAGACAACAATAATAAATGCTTTCGTTAAAACCAAATAAAAACAATATAAGAAATTTAAATTACAGGCCCACATCATGTTAAATGAGATGAAAAATTCTATATAAAGTTTCAGCTAAGTGATTAAATATAAATGCATCATAATGATACAGTGATTAAGTGATTTTAAAGATCTTATCTTTGAGAGATACATAATGAAGTTTTTCTTGATGAAATCATAAAATGTCTGGAATTTCTTTCAAATGATCCAGTCTGGGGGATGTGAAGAAGGAGCAATAGGTGAAACAAGATGGGCCAGGAGTTAATAATTGTTAAAGTTAGGTGGTAGACACATCGGAGATAATCATGTTATTCTCTGTACTTTTTATTCATTTTTAATTTTGCATAAGAAAAAGTGAAGTAAATGATTATGTGTAGGTTATTTTGGTATTTTAAAAATGGATTCAAAAATTAGAGAAATTTACAAATGAAATTTATGACAGTAATCAAAAATACAATTCTTTCAATTGATGCAAAAACAGTATTTGACAAATCACCCCTAATTTATGGTGATTTTAAAAAACATATTTATGAAAGCAGGAATATAGTAGTCAATTTTTCTAACTTTTTAAAGGTAATATAACAAAAACCTATAGCAACACTATATTTAATGAAGAATTTCAGGTGCTTTCCCTATAAAATCGGCAGCAAGAAAAGGAAGTCATCATTAGCACTATTCCTATTTAATAGGGTATTGGAGGTCATGGCCAACACTATAAGGAAAGAAAGGAAGACATAAGAGAAATAATGTTTTCCAAGAAAGAGATAAAACTATCATTATTTGCAGCCAGATGAAAAAGAAAATTCAGCAAGTTTGGAAGATACAAGATCAATTTGTAAAAGTCAATAGGATTTTAATATCATAAAGATGTCATTTCTCCTCCAAATTAATTTATAAATTTGATACAATCTCATTTAAAATATCAGTTAGAATTTAGAGGAATTCAATAAACTCATTTGAAAGTTTTATATGGAAAAGTAAAGATCCACTTAAAAATAGTAGTAAATCCATAGTAATGAAAGCAAGGTGATATTGGCACAAGAACAAATTATGGACCATGGAACAGCATTGTCCCATTGAGAACAGCCATAGTTCAGAAAGGGAGCCGTGTATGTATGAGGACTTAATGTAGGATAATGATGGCACCCCAAATCAAAGTGGAAACAACTGTTATTTAGGGAGTAGGGCTGGGGAAACTAGCTCATTACATGAAGAAAAGTGAAACTGGGTATCTATTTAATGCCTCATACAAAGCTGAAAAGTAGATGGAATAAAGAGCTAAACATAAAAGGTATTTTTATAAAGTTAAGCAGAAAAAAAACTGTAGGAGAATTCTTTATGTGCCTAGCTGTGAAGACAGACTTCTTAAAATTCCAAAGCACAAGTAGTAAAACAAATAAACATAAAAGGTTTGATTCAAAATTAAATATTTTTTCATTCTACAAAGGATATAACAAAGTAAATAAAGAAATAAAGAATAGGAGAATATATTTATGCCTCAAACAAAAAAAATCATCTGGCATATACAAGAAATTCCTACAAGTCAACATTTTAAAAAAAATACAGAAACATCAATTTGCAAATGAGCAAAAATAGGAACATGCAATTCACAGAAAAGGAAACCTAAATGGCTATGAAATATATGAAGAAATGTTCAAAATTATTAGTAATCACAGTATTGTAAATTAAAGCAACAATGAGACATCACTTTACATCAATTAAAGCAGCAAGAATTAGAAAGCTGGTTAAAGCCAGGTGATAGCGATGATATGGAATTATAAAAACCCTTGAGCACTGGGCAGAAATATTCACCTGAAGTATGACTTCAGATAGTAGGCAGTTGGAGATCATCGAGGTAGCCATAAATGAGAGAGTGGATATGCAAACTATGATGAAAAACCATCAATGTGGTATTCATTAAGGAGTTAATATCATTAATAGGATATTCTTTTCCTAAATGAATGGAATTAGTTAAAAGCAATAGTCTACATGTACATATAATAACATGGATATATCTGAAAACACAGTGTTGATAAGTACATAATATATGTAAGTTGAATATATATATATACAAAAAGTAATAATTTTCTTTTTAAGATAATACATCCAAACTATAGAATGGTTGCCTATAGGAATAAGGAAGGAATTGCAACAAAAGAGAATGACTGAATGAGTAGCCAGTCTTACACGGACCAATGGGAAGAACATATCATTAACTGAGGAGATATAAGTAACTCAACATTCACCAACAGATTTCAAAAATAAATAAAGAAATAAGAATTGCATATTTGCAGCCAGGCATGGTAGCTCACACCTGTAATCCCATCACTTTGGGAGGCTGATCACTGGAGGTCAGGAGTTTGGACCAACCTGGCAAACATGATGAAACCCGTCTGTACTAAAAATACAAAAAAATTAGCTGGGCATGGTGGCACATGCCTGTAATCCCAGCTAGTCTGCAGGCTGAGGCAGGAGAATCTCTTAAACCCAGGAGGCAGAGGTTGCAGTGAGCTGAGACCGCGCCACTGCACTCCAGCCTGGGCAACAAGAGTGAAACTCCACCTTAGAAAAAAAAAAAAAAGGAATTGCATATGTGCATGTGTCATATGGCATTCTTAGGCGAGATAAACAATGAGGAGATGAAGCAGGACAGTTAAACATACAAGGCAAAACCATCTATGTATTGCAAATAATCAAAGTTTGAAAACTTGTACTTTGATTAATGGTTCACATACTTGTTTGGTCTCTGGACCACTTTCTGCATCAAGGCTAGAGACCCTGAGAATCACCAACCCTACCCTGCTTATTCTCACTCCTCTAAACCCTTTCTGAGATCCTGGGAAGGTAATCACAATTTTGACGAGTGGCTGACGAAGATTGACATAGTAAATGATAATTCATGCCACAGACAACACTATAAACACCTTCCATGGCCCCAAAATATTTCTTACCTTAACTCCAAATAACAAAATAAAGGTTGAGAATCCTAAAGTCTAAAGGAGGTAAAAAAGTAAAAACTTTAACAGTCAGATTTGTGACACCAATGACTATTGCAATATCAAAAGAGCCTGACTCTTAGGTTTGGAGTCCAACTTTTCCAGGGCTCTTGTTTCTCTTTCTCCTTCTCTTCTGTCTTGCCATAACTCATTCAGAAAACCAGGCAGGAAGCAAAAATTATATAACTGGGTTTTACTGGCATGGCACATGTATACATATGTTAACTAACCTGCACAATGTGCACATGTACCCTAAAACTTAAAGTATAATAATAAAAGAAAAAAAACTTAAAAAAAAAAGAGTTCCAGTGGACTCATGCATTGCCAGGGTTTTATAAGAGCTTGAAGAAGTTTTATCTTTACCTCTGCAAAGGCTGAGATTCTGGCATTGACCTTTTCCTCCAGCTGTCTCCTCTTCTTAAAAGAAACCTCTCTATCCCTGCTGAGCCCATCTAAATCCACTCTTCACTATGCCCCAAACTTCTCTGTGACCCACAAGTCTGGCCAAAGTAGAAAACATCCATGGGTCCATTTGTCCTCTGGCTTGCAGCTGAGTTTAGCCAATCAGCAACCCTGGCAAAAGAGCAGAGGGAAGGAGAAATTTCTCCAGTTCCCTTCCTGAAAGGTGGCTGTGGGCTGGCTGTGTTTCCAAAGATCTTAACTAGTGAAACTCTCCAGAAGACCTCTTTGTCCCAGGGTTTCAGGAACCACTTGGTCTCCCCGCCCCTTTAGACCTGTGGGTGGTACTGGAGCCCCACCTTCGCCAGCTCCAGAGTCCTGCCATCACATATGGTTCTCCTACACCCATAACTTTGAAAATAGTACCTTGAATAAAAATCTTCTCAAGTTATCCTAATCTGATTTTGCCATCTGTTTCCTACTGCAACCCTTGCTGAGGCACCCAACCTGTTCCATATTTGGCAAAGGGGTTAGAAACAAGTTCATCTTTCTTTGATGTCCCTTTTTAGGCCCTCTGTAAACACTGAGAGTTTCAAATTTTGACAGACTCAGATTGGAGTTCAGGAACCACAGTTATATACAAGGCTGTTTCAGGGCCCTGATCTGGGATCACCCAGAATTTGCCAGGAGTACCTTTGAGAATAACAAATGAAAGCATTCTTCAGTTTGTTCCCAGAGGTATCATGATCTCCCATGGAGATATTTTACCCCAGACTACCCTGTGTTTTTATAGATTTCATTACAATTATAACAGTTTTATGTTTCACTGTTAAGAGTTGAATAAAACTTTACCCATAAAAAGTAAATCATTGCAAATCGCTAGACAAATGGAATGGTCTTAGCATCATAATATTAATTTATGTGGCATATGCGGTATAACTTTCATCTGCAGAGCATCTCAGATTAAAATGACTTACAGGATTAAAGAATAGTTGGGGCAGGCTGAGAAAGAGCCAGTCTAGAAGACAAATGCACCAAATGGATATCGATAAGCTTAACACAGGGATCACTTCACCACACTACTGGGCGCCAGACAACTCAGAGGTGAAATACCATGGCTATTAACTGCTAGAGCAGTGTCTCAATTTAAGAAAGAGAATAAAGAAAAATAGCCTGCTCATAAATAGTGCACAAGGGGATTTTAGAAGGCACAGTACAGTGAATACAATTAGAATCACTTGGGAGAACTGTGGAGTTTCATCTCATGCGCTTTAGCCTTTTCTCCCTAACTATGCTATTTCTTAAAAGCAAGATGCGGGTGTTATTTTTTAATATATCCTCTTTTCACCATAACAACTCAAAGACACACATTCACAGTATACATACACATACGAGGCAGTGTTCAAGGGTACCTGCCAGCCATTCGGTCAATGAACGTGTCCTACTGTGTTTCCAGCACTGTGCTAAGCACTGAGAAATTAACTGTAAATAAAACGAAGTCCCTGCTCTTGTGAAGCTTACATTTTAGTTGTTTGTTGTCATAGGGTCAGCAAGGGAGACATAGATAGCAAATAAGCAAATACATGAGATAGCAGGTAATAAAAGATTTAAGGGGAAAAAAAATGAGCCAACTGAGAGTGCTGGAGGGTGCTGTTTTAGGCAGTCTGACAGAGAAGCCAGCAGCTAGCAAAGATAAATCAAATGAGGCCCTCTATGTCAAGAAATATATTCACAGTTCTTAATACTGTTTTATACACTGCACACCCACTGCATACAGTAGATGCTAATTAAACAATGTAGACTGGGTGGCCACAAGTAGACTAGACTTCAGCCTCTCCTAAAATGCCTCCTGCTTCTTCCAAAGGCAGCCCAGTACCTATGGTGTCCTGGAGATAACAATGTGTTTCCAGCACCATCTCCCATGAGCATGATTCTATACATTCTTTTGATCGTGAGATGCAGTGACAAATATAGCTCTGTAGCAAGGGATCAAGAGGAAGGTAAGTGACAGGTACCAAGTGAGTCCCACAGGCTATAAACCTGTCACCAAGAAAATAAGGATGATAAGAGTTTATATCTGCAAAGCCCTAGCCTCCAAGGAAATCCTGGGTCTCTTTTTAGTTTGGCTTCTAAAGTAATTAAACATCAAGACATCCCTTCACAGTCCAAGGAAGCTCTCCTTGGCTTCTTTTCATAGATGGCAAAACTGAGGTCCTGAGATACTCATTAACTGCCCTATCTAAGGATAAATAATGACTAGCAAGGGCAAAAACATGTGGTGGAGGCAACTGGTACCTTATTAAAAGGGAAACACACATGCACACACTAGTCTACTGCAAGGAACACTGGAAGTCAGGGACTTCTACCTGAGCTGTATAGAGTGATCACACATACCTGATCAGTGTTTCCCTCTCCCCTTCACTATCTTTATAAGGACTTTCTAGAGATTATTAATGCAGTTTGAGAGATGGTATGTCATGGTTGAGAGAGCATAGGCCATTCAAATATGAACATGCATTTTACAAGAGCACAGAGAAACTATGTATATAGAACATATTTGAGGAGGTGCCTAAGGGGATACAGGGAGGTTGGCTGAGCCTGAGTAATGTAAATGGAAGAGAATAAATAAGTAAATAAAAACAAAAAAGGGGGGGCTTGATTTGCATCAATGGAATGCTGATAATGTATATGATTAACCCAATCCTTTGCCACTGAGATAAAAATTAAATGAGCAAACACCATATGTATGGGAGTTAAACAGATCAATTTTGAATATTGACCCAGTGGCTCACTGTCAAGTTCCTCAACTTCATTGAATCCTGGTATTCTAGAGTGAATAATAGTAATAATAATATCAACAGTCAATATTATTTGTTTTCAAAATTATCAACACATGGGAGGAACACTATGGGAGACAGCACCAGTCCTTACCAATATGCAGTCATCTTTTCCTTTCTGGGCACACAGGAGGTTACAATATTTAACCACCTTGAAGTCAGCAGAATCATGTGACTATTTCTGGTGGATGACATGTGAATAGCATGTCCCTTCCAAGCTGAGTCCAAATAATCTCAGTGAGAATCACCAGCTTCCCTCCTTCCCTTTGGTGAAGAGTTTAGAGGCCATGTGTTGAGATGGTAGGGCCAAAAGACTGAAGCAGCTGGATCAACGACTCACTGCATGGAGGGCAGCTACCTGGAGAGTTGTTGGAACCACAGTGAATTTTGCAGGAGCAAGAAATAAACTTTTGTTATCAAACCACTGGGTTTTTAGGATTGTTTTTTACTGCAACATGGCTCAGGGCAACCTGATTTACACATACAATAATCATTAGTGTCCTCTCCCCCATAGCCACAATCAGCTGACCCCAGACTCTGCAGGACATGAATGCCAGGAGAAAATCAAGCATTGATCTATCCGCCTTTTGAACTTTCAATCTGAGCTAAGGGGCTAGGCATGAAGAGCTGGAGAGGGGAAATAAGCCATACTCTACTACTGGAATTCAAAACATTCAGTTCATGTGCAGGTATCTCTGTAACTCTGACTGGCCTGCTTCTGGGAGGAAGCTTACCCTTAATCCATAGCATTCTCCCCTAGATCATTCAGCCCCCTGTGCATTATTCCCTGGGAGCCACTAAAGCCCAGAACAAATCCCTTTATGTGAAGATTTCACAGCAGTCCTTCCCCTGCCTCAGAGTAATAGGAGCTGTCTGTTATCTCTACTTAGAAAATTAAAGTTTTACTTGGCCAAAGCCAAAAGATAATACAATTCTATAACCTTGTAGTTTCATCTGTTTATTACTTACTGTTTGTAGAGAAAACAATAAATAAAATATCTGTGCATGTAATATCCCCTTTTCCCTCCAGGGACTCATATGGGTTCCAAATTTCTAAATAATCTCAGTGGGAAGCAATGTTTGCAGTCTACCAGCTTCCTTATGACTCTCTCATTAACCTTTTCAACTCTCCAATTTTTGTTTCTTAAGTCTGGTCACTTCTGTTTAATAACATTGGTACCAACTATTACACAGACAAAATAACCTGTCCTCACACATACCCAAACAATGTTTCAGCCCCTGTGTAATTACAGGACTATAAAACATCAAGGGTGGGCCACGAAACAAAGAGGGGGCTAGCTATATGAAGGACAACATTCATTACAGAAAAACTGATCTTGGCCATTACATCTAGCAGTTGGCTCCACACCCCCAAGAGCTCTATGTTCACTCTTGCCCAGCTGTCTTCAGAAGAAAATGCAGGCTAGGCTCATGCCTATAATCCTAGCACTTTGGGAGGCCAAAGCAGGCAGATCACCTGAAGCAAGGGGTTTGAGACCAGCCTGGCCAACGTGGCAAAACCCCAGCTCAACTAAAAATATAAAAATTAGCTGGGCATGCTGGTCAGCGCCTGTACTGCCAGCTACTTGGGAGGCTGAGGCAGGAGATCACTTGAACCCAGGAGGCGGAGGTTACAGTGAGTTGAGATCACACCACTCTACTCCAGCCTGGGTGACAGAGCGAGACTCCGTCTCAGAAAAAAAAAAAAAAAGAGAGAAAAGAAAATTCAGAGGCCAACAACTGTGCTGAGAAGAAGAAACAAAGGTAGAACAAGATTCTGACTAACTTACAATCTTGTGACTGTAAGAGCGTCTAGTTGCCCTGAGAGGTGTATGTGGATTCCCAGGAGGGTGGGAGGCCCAGGGCTTGTTAGTAAGCACCGCCTAGCACCACCTTCCACCTGCACCTCTCCTTACCTACTGCTCTGGCTGGGCTCAGCAGCATCATTCTCACAGTATGAGCCAGAGGGACCCTGGGCCTCAGGCATTTCCACTTGTTCCAGACCCATGAAAAGTCATTGTGATTCCAGGGTAACAATCACCCTGATGACCTCTTTCTAGTCTCGGGCTCTGGGATCTTCTGCCTTCTCATTGCTTCTCTGAACTCCATCAAAACAGAAGAGGATGCCATAATTCTTTTACAACTTGACAAAAACACCTTTATAAGAATGCATTGGTTCCCCCAGACAGTTTTAAGCCTCTTATCTTTAATTGTGGAATTAAGGATTTTATCTCCCATGAAAGAAATTTCATGCATCAACTAAGCAATGTGCAGGGCAGAGAGACTCCCAGGTCTCCTAAGCATCAGGCTAAGACTTGGTGGGCCCAGAGGGACAAAGGTCAGAGTGGAAGACATGAGTCAGAAAGAACTGTGAGAGTTCCGTTCTCTTTCTCACCTGGCTGTCCTCAGATGAATGTACCTGGCCTGCTCCCTCAGACATCCTTTTCTGCAATGGTTGCAGGGGGAAAAGTCCTGGAATTGCTGGTGTCTTGCACTGTGGCACATGGGTCTGGAGTCAGAGGTATCTGAGCCCTCTACCCTTCCCTTGGTCTTCTGGGATTCTTTCTTACCATCTTGAGACCCTGGCACTACCCATTCCAGTCCTTCTGTCTCTTTCTCTCTCTTCCAGCACTAACAAGTTTGTACCTGTTCACCAATGCCCTCTACATAGCTGCCACTTTCTTTCTAGAAAGGTTTTCTACTCCCTTAACGCACAGACTTCTCTGTCTTGGGTTCATTATCAAAGGGAGACCTGGGAATATGAGAGGAGAGAAGGTGCTGGAAACTTTCTATTGCTCAACAACATCCCTCCAAATGTAGTGGAGCCTTAGATGATCACAGAGGGAGCAGCAGTCATAGATGGGGGCACGAGGTAGAGATGGCAGAGGTGTGGGAACCTGAGCAATGACATTTATCACTTTCCCTGCAAAGGTGAGTGTGTGCATACAAGAGTGTGCGTCTGTGTGTAAGAGCATGTGTTGAGGGGAAACTGACATATTTGACAATAATTAGTATTACCAAGAAACTTTAAAAGTTAGAAAAAGAACTTAATCTTTGGCTACCTAAAAGTAATACTAATTATAGGCTTCATGCAAATTAAGTCCAATTATCATGCAACACAATAATATGTCTATCATTATAATATGTCAAGTTAACTTTCTTGTAAATTTTCCATAACAATTTTGAACTTTTTTTTTGGACATTAATATTAATTTATTTTTTTATTATTATTATACTTTAAGTTTTAGGATACATGTGCACAATGTGCAGGTTTGTTACATATGCATACATGTGCCATGTTGGTGTGCTACACCCATTAGCTCGTCATTTAGCATTAGGTATATCTCCTGATGCTATCCCTCCCCACTGCTCCCACCCCACAACACTCCCCGGTGTGTGATGTTCCCCTTCCTGTGTCCATGTGTTCTCATTGTTCAATTCCCACCTATGAGTGAGAACATGCGGTGTTTGGTTTTTTGTCCTTGCGATAGTTTGCTGAGAATTATGGTTTCCAGCTTCATCCATGTCCCTACAAAAGACATGAACTCATCATTTTTTATGGCTGCATAGTAATCTATGGTGTATATGTGCCACATTTTCTTAATCCAGTCTATCGTTGCTGGACATTTGGGTTGGTTCCAAGTCTTTGCTATTGTGAATAGTGCCCCAATAAACATACATGTGCATGTGTCTTTATAGCAGCATGATTTATAATCCTTTGGGTATATACACCCAGTAATGGGATGGCTGGGTCAAATGGTATTTCTAGTTCTAGATCCCTGAAGAATCGCCACACTGATTTCCACAATACTTGAACTAGTTTACAGTCCCACCAACAGTGTAAAAGTGTTCCTATTTCTCCACATCCTCTCCAGCACCTGTGGTTTCCTGACTTTTTAATGATTGCCATTCTAACTGGTGTGAGATGGTATCTCACTGTGGTTTTGATTTGCATTTCTCTGATAGCCAGTGATGATGAACATTTTTTCATGTGTCTTTTGACTGCATAAATGTCTTCTTTTGAGAAGTGTCTGTTCATATCCTTCGCCCACTTTTTGATGGGGTTGTTTGTTTTTTTCTTGTAAATTTGTTTGAGTTCATTGTAGATTCTGGATATTAACCCTTTGTCAGATGAGTAGGTTGCGAAAATTTTCTCCCATTCTGTAGGTTGCCTGTTCACTCTGATGGTGGTTTCTTTTGCTGTGCAGAAGCTCTTTAGTTTAATAAGATCCCATTTGTCAATTGTGACTTTTGTTGCCATTGCTTTTGGTGTTTTAGACATGAAGTCCTTGCCCATGCCTATGTCCTGAATGGTATTGCCTAGGTTTTCTTCTAGGGTTTTTATGGTTTTAGGTCTAACATTTAAGTCTTTAATCCATCTGGAATTAATTTTTGTATAAGGTGTAAGGAAGGGATCCAGTTTCAGCTTTCTACATATGGCTAGCCAGTTGTCCCAGCACCAATTATTAAATAGGGAATCCCTTCCCCATTGCTTGTTTTTGTCAGGTTCATCAAAGATCAGATAGTTGTAGATATGCGGCATTATTTCTGAGGGCTCTGTTCTGTTCCATTGGTCTATATCTCTGTTTTGGTACCAGTACCATGCTGTTTTGTTTACTGTAGCCTTGTAGTATAGTTTGAAGTCAGGTAGCGTGATGCCTCCAGCTTTGTTCTTTAGGCTTAGGATTGACATGGCAATGTGGGCTCTTTTTTGGTTCCATATGAACTTTAAAGTAGTTTTTTCCAATTCTGTGAAGAAAGTCATTGGTAGCTTGATGGGGATGGCATTGAATCTATAAATTACCTTGGGCTGTGTGGCCATTTTCAGGATATTGATTCTTCCTATCCATGAGCATGGAATGTTCTTCCATTTGTTTGTATCCTCTTTTATTTCCTTGAGCAGTGGTTTGTAGTTCTCCTTGAAGAGGTCCTTCACATCCCTTGTAAGTTGGATTCCTAGGTATTTTATTCTCTTTGAAGCAATTGTGAATGGGAGTTCACTCATGATTTGGCTCTCTGTTTGTCTGTTATTGGTGTATAAGAATGCTTGTGATTTTTGCACATTGATTTTGTATCCTGAGACTTTGCTGAATTTGCTTATCACCTTAAGGAGATTTTGGGCTGAGACAATGGGGTTTTCTAGATATACAATCATGTCATCTGCAAACAGGGACAATTTGACTTCCTCTTTTCCTAATGGAATACCCTTTATTTCCTTCTCCTGCCTGATTGCCCTGGCCAGAACTTCCAACACTATGTTGAATAGGAGTGGTAAGAGAGGGCATCCCTGTGTTGTGCCAGTTTTCAAAAGGAATGCTTCCAGTTTTTGTCCATTCAGTATGATATAGGCTGTGGGTTTGTCATTGATAGCTGTAATTATTTTGAGATACGTCCCATCAAAACCTAATTTATTGAGAGATTTTAGCATGAAGGGTTGTTGAATTTTGTTAAAGGCCTTTTCTGCATCTATTGAGATAATCATGTGGTTTTTGTCTTTGGTTCTGTTTATATGCTGGATTATATTTATTGATTTTCATATGTTGAACCAGCCTTGCATCCCAGGGATGAAGCCCACTTGATCATGGTGGATAAGCTTTTTGATGTGCTGCTGGATTTGCTTTGCCAGTATTTTATTGAGGATTTTTGCATCAGTGTTCATCAAGGATATTGGTCTAAAATTCTCTTTTTTTCTGTTGTGTCTCTGCCAGGCTTTGGTATCAGAATGATGCTGGCCTCATAAAATGAGTTAGGGAGGATTCCCTCTTTTTCTATTGATTGGAATAGTTTCAGAAGGAATGGTACCAGCTCCTCCTTGTACCTCTGGTAGAATTCAGCTGTGAATCCATCTGGTCCTGGACTTTTTTTGGTTGGTAAGCTATTAATTATTGCCTCAATTTCAGAGCCCGTTATTGGTCTATTCGGAGATTCAACTTCTTCCTGGTTTAGTCTTGGGAGAGTGTATGTGTCGAGGAATTTGTCCATTTCTTCTAGATTTTCTCGTTTATTTGCATAGAAGTGTTTTTACTATTCTCTGATGGTAGTTTGTATTTCTGTGGGATGGGTGGTGATATTCCCTTTGTCATTTGTTATTGCATCTATTTGAGTCTTCTCTCCTTTCTTCTTTATTAGTCTTGCTAGCAGTCTATCAATTTTGTTGATCTTTTCAAAAAACCAGCTCCTGGATTCATTGATTTTTTGAAGGGTTTTTTGTGTCTCTAATTCCTTCAGTTCTGCTCTGATCTTAGTTATTTCTTCCCTTCTGCTAGCTTTTGAATGTGTTTGCTCTCGCTTCTCTAGTTCTTTTAATTGTGATGTTAGGGTGTCAATTTTAGATTTCTCTT
This sequence comes from Homo sapiens, assembly GCF_000001405.40. Classification (NCBI taxonomy): domain Eukaryota; kingdom Metazoa; phylum Chordata; class Mammalia; order Primates; family Hominidae; genus Homo; species Homo sapiens. The sequence continues at coordinate 177,674,936 of NC_000001.11, forward strand.
GCTTTCTCTTGTGGGCAATTTAGTGCTATAAATTTCCCTCTACACACTGCTTTGAATGTGTCCCAGAGATTCTGGTATGTTGTATCTTTGTTCTTGTTGGTTTCAAAGAACATCTTTACTTCTCCCTTCATTTCATTATGTACCCAGTAGTCACTCAGGAGCAGGTTGTTCAGTTTCCATGTAGTTGAGTGGTTTTGAGTGAGTTTCTTAATCCTGAGTTCTAGTTTGATTACACTGTGGTCTGAGAGCCAGTTTGGTATAATTTCTGTTCTTTTATATTTGCTGAGGAGTGTTCTACTTCCAACTATGTGGCCAATTTTGGAATAGGTGTGGTGTGGTGCTGAAAAGAATGTATATTCTGTTGATTTGGGGTGGAGAGTTCTGTAGATGTCTATTAGGTCTGCTTGGTGCAGAGCTGAGTTCAATTCCTGGATATCATTGTTAACTCTCTGTCTCCTTGATCTGTCTAATGTTGACAGTGGGGTGTTAAAGTCTCCCATTATTATTGTGTGGGAGTCTAAATCTCTTTCTAGGTCTCTAAGGACTTGCTTTATGAAATTGGGTGCACATATATCTAGGATAGTTAGCTCTTGCTGAATTGATCCCTTTACCATTATGTAATGGCCTTCTTTGTCTCTTTTGATCTTTGTTGGTTTAAAGTCTGTTTTATTAGAGACTAGGATTGCAATCCCTGCCTTTTTTTTGTTTTCCATTTGCTTGGTAGATCTTCCTCCATCCCTTTATTTTGAGCCTATCTGTGTTTCAGCACGTGAGATGGGTTTCCTGAATACAGCACACTGATGGGTCTTGACTCTTTATCCAATTTGCCAGTCTTTGTCTTTTAATTGGAGCAGTTAGCCCATTTACATTTAAGGTTAGTATTGTTATGTGTGAATTTGATCCTGTCATTATGATGTTAGCTGGTTATTTTGCTCGTTAGTTGATGCAGTTTCTTCATAGCCTCGATGGTCTTTACAATTTGGCATGTTTTTGCAGTGGCTGGTACTGGTTGTTCCTTTCCATGTTTAGTGCTTCCTTCAGGAGCTCTTTTAGGGCAGGCCTGGTGGTGACAAAATCTCTCAGCATTTGCTTGTCTGTAAAGTATTTTATTTCTCCTTCATTTATGAAGCTTAGTTTGGCTGGATATGAAATTCTGGGTTGAAAATTCTTTTCTTTAAGAATGTTGAATATTGGCCCCCACTCTCTTCTGGCTTGTAGGGTTTCTGCCGAGAGATCAGCTGTTAGTCTGATGGGCTTCCCTTTGTGGGTAACCCGACCTTCCTCTCTGGCTGCCCTTAACATTTTTTCCTTCATTTCAACTTTGGTGAATCTGACAATTATGTGTCTTGGAGTTGCTCTTCTCCAGGAGTATCTTTTTGGCGTTTTCTGTATTTCCTGAATTTGAATGTTGGCCTGCCTTGCTAGATTGGGGAAGTTCTCCTGGATAATATCCTGCACAGTGTTTACCAACTTGGTTCCATTCTCCCCGTCACTTTCAGGTACACCAGTTAGATGTAGATTTGGTCTTTTCACATAGTCCCGTATTTCTTGGAGGCTTTGTTTCTTTTTATTCTTTTTTCTCTAAACTTCTCTTCACGCTTCATTTCATTCATTTCATCTTCCATCACTGATACCCTTTCTTCCAGTTGATCGCATTGGTTACTGAGGCTTGTGCATTCGTCACGTAGTTCTCGTGCTGTGGTTTTCAGCTCCATCAGGTCCTTTAAGCACTTCTCTGCATTGGTTATTCTAGTTATCCATTTGTCTAATTTTTTTTCAAAGTTTTTAACTCCTTTGCCATTGGTTCGAACTTCCTCCTTTAGCTCAGAGTAGGTTGATCTTCTGAAGGCTTCTTCTCTCAACTCGTCAAAGTCATTCTCCATCCAGCTTTGTTCCATTGCTGGTGAGGAGCTGTGTTCCTTTGGAGGAGGAGAGGTGCTCTGATTTTTAGAGTTTCCAGTTTTCCTGCTCTGTTTTTTCCCCACCTTTGCGATTTTATCTACCTTTGGTCTTTGATGATGGTGATGTACAGATGGGTTTTTGGTGTGGATGTCCTTTCTGTTTGTTAGTTTTCCTTCTAACAGTCAGGACCCTCAGCTGCAGGTCTGTTGGAGTTTACTGCAGGTCTGCTCCAGACCCGGTTTGCCTGGGTATCAGCAGCGGTGGCTGCAGAACAGCAGATATTGGTGAACCGCAAATGCTGCTGCCTGATCGTTCCTCTGGAAGTTTTGTCTCAGAGGAGTACCTGGCTGTGTGAGGTGTCAGTCTGCCCCTACTAAGGGGTGCCTCCCAGTTAGGCTACTCAGGGTTCAGGGACCCACTTGAGAAGGCAGTCTGCCCATTCTCAGATCTCAAGCTGCATGCTGGGAGAACCACTACTCTCTTCAAAGCTGTCAGACAGGGACATTTAAGACTGCAGAGGTTATTGCTTCTTTTGTTTGTCTGTGCCCTGCCCCAAGAGGAGGAACTTACAGAGGCAGGCAAGCCTCCTTGAGCTGTGGTGGGCTCCACCCAGTTCGAGCTTCCAGGCTGCTTTGTTTACTTACTCAGGCCTGAGCAATGGCAGGCGCCCCTCCCCCAGCCTTGCTGCTGCCTTGCGGTTTGATCTCAGACTGTTGTGCTAGCAACGAGCAAGCCTCCGTGGGCATAGGACCCTCTGAGCCAGGTGCGGGATATAATCTCCTGGTGTGCCGTTTGTTAAGCCTGTTGGAAGAGCGCAGTATTAGGGTGGGAGTGACCCGATTTTCCAGGTGCCGTCTGTCACCCCTTTCTTTGACTAGGAAAGGGAATTCCCTGACCCCTTGCATTTCCCAGGTGAGGCAATGCCTCGCCCTGCTTCGGCTCACACACGGTGCTCTGCACCCACTGTCCTGCATCCACCGTCCGGCACTCCCTAGTGAGATGAACCTGGTACCTCAGTTGGAAATGCAGAAATCACCCATCTTCTGCGTCACTCACGCTGGGAGCTGTAGACTGGAGCTGTTCCTATTCGGCCATCTTGGCTCCACCCCTATTAATTTCTACTCACATTTAGTAGAGTAATATTTACTTCCATAGCAAAATGTCAGATGGCTGATTCCTTCTTCTCTGATGAAGGTGTTGTCAACATCAAAACACACTGCATCTGCTGAGTAGAAAAGCTTCCTCAGCTCTGGGTGGGAGACCATCCTTGGAAGAATTTTCCTCCTCAGGTGATCCGCCAGCCTCGGCCTCCCAATGTGCTGGGGTTACAGGTGTGAGCCACTGCACCCAGCTGGTACCAGCTTTTAAAACAACAATTTTGAACTTTGTGTACAAGTTGTGCAAGTAAAAAGACTAAATGAACAGGACTCCGTTGTCTTTTTAAGTCCTTTGCCAATATTTCTACATGGTTGTTTATCTTTTTCTTTAATGATTTTTAAATGGCCTCTATGCATTGAGGAGAGCATCCCTTTATCTATTACATGTGCTGCAAATATTTCTTCCAGTGTGGGATTGGTCTTTTAATTTTGATGGTGTATTAGAGTATATAGAGAAACGGTTCTCAGTCTCTTGCAATCACACTTTATGTGTTCACTTTCCATGCAGCATACTCACCTGCTCACAGTTTAAAAAAAAAAAAAATTATAGAAAAAGTGCCCATTATATCTATTTGCTGAAGCATGAAATTCCTTTGAACAGGAAATAATCTTTCATTCCACAATTAGAGATAAAATGTTTACAAATGCACAGAGCCTTAGAGATAATACATTAGTGAGTTTCAGGTAAATGTGTATGATGATAACAGTCTTTCCTGTGTTTACAAGAGGAGGTTTCATTTCGAAAGCAGTAGAGAATCCTGTGCCAGAATGAATGAGGGAGAGAGGCCTTCAGGAGGAGTTCTGCAGACCAAGACTGACCACCCCCTAGAGCCTTCCCTGACCCTCCAGGTCAGGGTTAGATACTTCTTCCCTGTAGTCCCACAGGCACCCATAAATAGTTCTGTTATACCACGAATTACACTTTAATACAATGGCTGTTTACTTCTCTGTCTTGCCCACCTCCCTATAATGTACTCAGAGGACAGGGATGGTGTCTAATTAGTTCGCCATTGTATCCAGAGCATCAACCTAGTAAATTCTTTTTTTTTTTTTTTTTTTTTTTTTTTTTTGCTATTCAACGATTCTTTTAAAAAAATACTTTAAGTTTTGGATACATGTGCAGAACGTGCAGGTTTGTTACATAGGTATACATGTGCCATGGTGGTTTTGTGCACCCATCAACCCATCATCTATATTAGGTATTTCTCCTAATGCTATCTCTCCCCTTGTCCCCCACCCCCTAGTAGATTCTTAATCAACATTCATTGAATGAATAAGTAAAGGACTCAATAAATCAATAAATCAGCATTATTACTTTCCTCAGGGCTTGTGTGACTGTATTATTGCTTCTGCTGCAGAAAGATAGAAAGGCACTATGTATTAAAGGAGAAGACTCAAGCTGAGAAGATGAGTCCCTACAGAATGACTACCACCCTTCCAGCATGTGGCCCAAAAAGGCCCCAGTAATAAATATCCCAACAAAACCCCACTCTAGGACCATGCCCTCACTCAGAATTTAGATTTTGATATGTCAAGGTAAACGACGGCCTGTGCCTCCCTCTCCCCAAGAACACAGCGCTTCCCTAACCAGCTGAGATCTTTTAATGCTTTAGACTAAACTCTGAAGCAGGAACAACTGGGTTTTCAGGAGCTGCCATAAGAATCAGCCTCATTCAGCAAGGGACCCCTGTCTAATTAGGCTCCCTGAGGTATTTTACAGGTTGATCTGGCTTGAACCTTCTTTGCTCTCTTGAAAATTTGCTAACCTTTCAATCCTCCATTAGCTGACCCTAGATAATACTACATCCCGTTCTCTGTGCCTATGACTCTCTGCAATACATCTAAGAGTCCAGCCTAGATTATGTAGGCCCTGCCCAGCCAGGTCAGCCCACATGACCTTTTTCTGGCCTTTCTGGCAATGTCAGCCTGAATGACCCTGCTTCTGTCTAGTTCTTTTACCTTTCCGGACATGAGCTTCCCCATCCTCTGCTCCACTTTGTAAATATACTCAGCCCTGGTCAAGAATCCCTGCCTTCCCATGTCTAATCCTGCCCTGGACACGGTGAAGTCCTCCTGGATAGGTCAGTGCATGCACATCACACACTAGGGGGTTATTTGCTTTCTAGTTTCTTCTCGCCTCTGGTGCTGTGTATGTATCCTCACCTGCTTATCTCTGTTTTCCAACTCCTATTGCCCATGTGCTTTAACCTGAGTTTCTAGACTTTTAACTTCCAAGAATTGGCTTTGGTTCTGCCTCATGGTTACTCAGTGATTATTTCTTCCTGGGCACCATCCAGACTCCCTCTACAAATTCAGGATTGATTCCTGCTATGATAGCTGGTAACTGCAGGCATCTTCAAATGGTGTCTATGCCTGCTCTCCACCAAACACTCTGTTCCTCAATTCTAAATGATCCCTTTCCAGCACTATTCACCTGGCTCACCATTGCCCAGACCTGCAAAGGAGACATGAGGACAACCATCATTTGTGCTACATGACATAAATATGAAATAAAATAAGATCTCCTTTGAGAAGCTCATGGGCGCAGAGCAGTGGCGTACACAGGCTCTCATCTGTTTGCCTCCTGGATAGGGGTTTCTGGGTTGAGCACAGCCAGGTATATTGTAGAAAGGGCACCAATAGAAATAACATACTCCATGATGTTCTAAATATTTACAGAAAAAGGGGGCTGAGGAATATCTAGTTGACTGTATGACAACGAGAGCTTTAGGACTGAAGAGATCAGCAGCTAGTGTCAATTCATCCTGCCACTGAGCTAATTCAACTGAGCTAAATTCTTACTAAGCTACCAAAAGCAGGAAGGACATGAGCATCAAGGCTCTGCTGATGTCTCCCATCAAGCCCCTTCTTCACACCTGGCTCACCACCAGCCCCCATCCCCAACCTGGGTCCCCCATCTTGCCCAACAAGCCTACTCTCTGCTCCTACACAGATATCCATAAGCTGCCTCCTCTCTGGACCTCAGCAAGATAACAGGTTTACAAATGCACAGGGCCTTAGAGATAATAGTTTAGAGTGTTTCAGGTAAATGTGTATTATGATAACAGAGTCTTTCCTATGTTTATGGGAGGGAGTTTCATTTAGAAAGCAGTAAAATATTTAGGGCCCTAACGGGTGAGTGGAGCCAGGCCACCACAAGGTGCCCTGTAGCTGCTCTGGGCCTCCCAGGCTTTCCAAAGTCAGAGACCATGCCCCAGCCTCTAAACTCACTTTCTCCATCTCCTCCTCCCTCACCAGAATACACCCAACTCCTAATTCATTTTCCTAGGAACTTGCTCCCTAATGGAGTTGTAGAACCACAGAATTTTAGATTTATGTTATCTTACCATAAAGTGGGAAAACCAGAGCTTACTCCTTTTAAAAGATGAAGGCAGAGGGGTTTGTGTGTTTTGTCTTTAGAGCCCCTCTGTTTTTTACAGGTCTCATCTCTTCTCTATAGTCCCAGTTCCCTGCATCCTTCTAAATATCAGCTCCACTCTTCATTGGCAAATTGATCATGGGCAACTGTCTAAACTTCTTTGTGCATTTGTTTTCTCATCAGCAAAATGGAATTGTATCAGTACCTTCCTTCAAAGGAACATCCAGAGGATTAATGAGAGAATCTTATGTGAATCAATTAGCATGGTACCTGGCACTTAATAAATGTTAGCTTTTATTATTTCTTAAAGCTTTTGTATCCTTATTCTTTAAGAAAATCAATCCTAATCAATTCCTCTCTTAAGTAGTATTTAAGGGCACTGTATTTTACCCCTCCCAGGTAATACAACCCTACATTTAAGCAGAGTGGATGTTTATTATCCAATCAAAGGCTGTACTTGGGGAATTTTAAGTTTCCAGGCAGATGGAGAAGGGAAGAGCTTTGGGCAGGAGACATTCATAGATCCTGGATGTCACATAAAGTAGGTAGATGCCTATTGCCCTAACATGTGCAGATAGACTTGGGCTTGGCTTGTTGTCCAAATTCCTAAAATCCCCAAGCCTGGAAAATGGCAATCGAGACTGATTTTCATAACTGTATTATAAAAGGAAGTACGACAGATCATTTTACTTTTCCTGCTCGTATTATATAGTCCCCCAAAAAAAGCTTTCTCAAAAGAGTTAAAGCATAACCTAAATAACTTAATTTGAATACCTAAACACTCAGGCTATTTAACAATGATAGTAATTGTTTATTCTTCATACTTCTACAGATTTTCTTCTCTGTCCAAATCAATTCCACTATTCTACTAAACATTGACATTACTTTTGACATTTATTACCTAGGTGTTTCTAGCTTTTCCAAAGGCTAATATTTTACCTAGTTTATTTCCCTAAATTCTATAGATATACCTAAATCTTCCTATAGAAAGCTCCTTCCTGTACTGCCTTCTAGTTTTGATTAGCAGGGCTATTTCTTAATGGAAAGCCAAAGTTATAACATGTTTTCTTCCCTGCTTTTTATCGAAAGCTCTTTTGGAGAACTCTTTATTGCCTTTTAATTGTCTGAGTTTATTTTCTTCACTTCTCTTATTAAAGCAGAGATGGCAGAGGGGGGAGAAAGGGGAATGTAGCTATCCCTCAGCAACCTTCAAAGTCATCTTTAATCTTGTAATCATCTTCATCCATCAGCTGGCCTCCCGTTTCCCTTGCCTCCATTTTTTATTTATTTTTTGTCTATTCAAGAAGACCTTTCTCATTCTCATTTTGCTTACATTAATTCACCCTGCTCTTTGGCTGCCCTAACTTTAGTTGCATATTCTCATTTGATCCCCTCCTGTCCCTTTCCTTTCCAAGTCAGATTTTTCTTTGCACATAGGTTTTTAAGCCACCCTTTGTAAATCCACTTTGCAAAGAGCAAGCAATCTCCAATCTTCTTTTCCAGAGCAATTGTAATCCACTTGGTTTAATTATAGTGTCTATTCAGATGTTCAAAATTCCATCCAGTTATAGATTTTAATACTTCTTCCCTCTGAACCATATTTATTAGATTGATTAATTCCCCAAATGTGCTTTTTTGAAGTTTAATACCCTAAGTCTTTGAAGTCACTGCTTACTTAAAGAATTCAAGAAGATCATGATCACTAGTAACAAGGAGGCTGTCTTGGAATTAACTACATAATTCAGCTGTTGCTATTCCCAGTAGCTCCAGTTACTGTACCACTCATAGCTTGATTTCCCAGTCTTAGTCAAAACACGATCTTTAACCCACGTGTTGTAGGCAAAACCATATCCATCACAATGAGAAGTTTCACAAAAAAAGACAAATTAAGTAAGCATTTACTTTTTTATTATTGTTTATTCTCATCTTGGATGATTGGTAATAAATTGGGGTAACTCACATTATTTATCTGGACCTTCATTTCCATATAAATGAAATGAGGAAGGAGGACTAGATGGCTTCTAAGATATCTTCTAGCTCTTTTAAATACCATTCTTCTACAATTCTAATTTATTCTCCAAAATTATGGAGTTGAATTTCTGGCACATTAATGTGAACTATGGAACATTTTATTGCTTAAAAAAAATTTTATTTCAGATACAGTGAGTAGTTAGACCCACCTTAACTTTTTAATGGCTTTATAAGGGAAAACTGGCATACAATAATATGTACATAAAGTTTACAGTTTGGTAAGCTTTGTTATATGTATATACTCATGAAGCCATTAGCACAATCACGATAAAGTTTATATCCATCAACCTTACATTGGGATTAGTTAAGTATCCCTTATGATCCCATGTTATCTACCATAACATGGTTGGCTTTTTAACTATGAGTCTTTGCGGTGTTAATTTAGTGGTGGTTCTAAGACTGATAATATACATCTTTAACTTACCACTGTCTCCCTTCAAGTGACATTATATCATTTCATATATAGTACAAGAATCTAATAACCATATAATTGTATCTCTCCTCTCCTGGCTTTTGTGATATTGTTGTTATACATTTTACATATATATATATATATATATATATACATATATATATATATATATATACACACACACATATATATATAAAAATAAAATAAACTCCAACACACATTGTTATTTTTTGGCCTTAAATGCTCATTTTTTTAAGATTTAAATGATTAAGCATTTTCATATTTACCCACATTGTTACCATGCCTAGTACTTTATTACTATACATATATAATATGAAACATGTATGTGTCATATATGTCATATATACACATACATATGACATATGCACATACATATGACACACATATGACATAGATACACATACATGTGTCACATATGACATATAGGACACATACATGTATCATATATATGTATAGTAATAATGTATATATAGTTATATATAATATATAGTGACATATATGTATGTGTATATATATGACATTTTATATATATATATATATCTCTTTCTCTCTCCAGTCTGCTGGTAACAAATTTTTTCAGTTTGTGTATATCTGAAAAATCTTTAATTTTAGCTTTGGAAACATTTTTGCTTGGTATAGAATCTAAGTTGACAGTTATTTTCCATCAGTACTTTAAATATTGCCTCACTCTCTTCTCTTGCATTGTTTCTGATAAGAAATCTATTGTCATCCTTAACTTTGTTTCTCTATATACAATGTATCTTTTTTCTGTGGCTGCTTTTAGGTTTTTCTCTTTATCATTGGGGGTTAAACAATTTTATTATAAAGTGCTTTAGTTTGTTTCCTTCGTATTTCTTGGCCATTTGTTGAATGTTGGAACTGTGGATTTAGAGTTTTCATCAAACTTGGACGATATCTGGCCATTATGCCTTCAAATATTTTTTGTACCCAACCTCTTCTCTTCGGAGAGTCCATCTCCCAAGATCATGTGCATCTTGGGCCACTTGAAGTATAAAGTATACCCCCATAAGTATGCTTTGTTTCCATTGTTTCCCAGAATTCTTTCTCTACGTGATTCATTCTGGATAGTCTCTACTCTGTTTTTATATTCAGTAACCCTTTCTTCTTCATTGTCTAATCTATCATCAATTCTATCCAGTATATTTTTCATCTCAGAAATTGTAGTTTTCATCTCAAGAAGTTATTTTTTATATTTTATGTAATGTGCCCTTTAATACACTAAGTTGTTTCTTCAGGTTCTTGAATATAGGGAATGTCCTTATCTAATAATTTTGTCATCTATGTCATTTCTGGCTTAGTTTTAATTGATTTTTCTCCTAATTATGCACCATACATTTTCTTCCTTTTTTTTTTTTTCTTTCTTTTTTTTTTTTTTTTTTTTTTTGCATGCCTGGTAAAATATTGGATGTCAGACATTGTGAATTTTGTCTTACTGGGTGCTGGACATTTTTTTATTTCTAGTAATTTTTTTTTAGTTGTTTTTTTTTTTTGCTCCATAATTTTTACTTGGGAAGAGTTCTGATCATGCTTTTAAGCTTTGCTAGGCAGTATCACAGCAGTGCTCAGTCTAGGGCTAATTTCAACCCACTACAGAGGTGGGACCCTGCTGAATACTCTCATTGATGATGTCTCATTAATTATGAGATTTCCCACTCTGATGGGAACAGAAAATATTCTCAGTCATGTGTGAGCTTTGGAGAGTGTTGCCTCCAATCCTGTCAAGTAGTTCTTTCCCCAGCCTCAGGTCATTTCCTCACAAACCTGCACTCAACAGTACTCAGAGGGAGACTTAAGGGGGACTTTCTGAAGATCTCCAGAGTTCTCTTTCTGTGCAACTTTTTCCTCAGAGCACTCTTCCTGCAAATTCTAGTCCCACTGGCCTCCCCAGACTCCTCAAATCAGAGAGACTACCAAGATGTTCCTGGGTTTCCCCTCCCTGTGCCGTGGCCTGGAAGCTCTCTCAGTGGCATGTTCGGGCAATCATAGGGCTCACACTCTTCTTTTTCTATCTCTCAAGTATTTCCATCCTTTTTCTGATGTTTAAAGTTTCATAAACTATTGTTTCATACAAGTGGTCTAATTTTTAGTTGTTTTGTGAAAGGGAAGATCCAGCTTCTGCTAGAAGCAGAAGTCATTCACCTTAACTTGAATGGCTATAAAACACTCATCTCTCATCTCGAAAGCATTCCTCTAAGTACTTAATGACCATATGAATTCCAATACTATGGCTTGAAATTATTCTTAACAATCTTCCTTCGCTGTGCCTAAGTATATATTTACAACTACTGTTAAATTGATTGGGTTTTTTTCCTTCAGTAAACAGTTTCCTTAAAACATCATGAATGCTTATTGCTTCTTAATTCTATCTTTGTTTCTACTATTTGTAAATTGTACTGCTACAGAAGTCTAAGTAGAAGCAAACTCATCAATGTTGGCCTAGTTTAAGTTCCAAGAACCCAGAAACAAAGGTTTAATCATTTTGGTGTCCTCATTCTGAGCCTGTTTTTCTTGTTTCATATTTAGTCATTTAGTGATGACTTCCAAGGAGAGGAAAAGATTTTCCTCTGGAAAACAGAAATGGCCTTGAGAGTAAGAGAGAAACTCACTCACCTAATTGTTCACTGTTTCCAAAGTATAAACTGGCCTTGATTTCTCATCAATGTTGTAATTGAATTGTAATGATTTATGCAAAATTTTTCTTATTTCTTTAGCTCCCTTTATTATGTATTCATTACATATCCTCCTATTTCATCTAATATTTAATGGTTGAATTTAACACAGACACACAGAGACACACATATGCCCCTATCTGTGCATGCCAAGAACAGACCATTTCTCGATCCATTTTTTCTGTGCTATAATAAATACTCTAATGCTACAAAGTAAATAAATACCAGAACTGAGGGCCTGTGAGAATCCATTCAATTGAAAGCCTGTTAATAGACAGTAAAGCACCCCGTGCCGTGGGGAAGAAAGGTGCTATAAAAACCCATAATGTTGTTGCCACAGTTAGACCAGCTCTATAGTATACAATACGACCAGAGACATTTCCTTTAATCTAGTTCCTGTGATTTTACCAAGTCCCCTTGATTTTACATCATGTGACAGAATAAAAAGTTTTCTGTCCCAACTCCTGTCTTCCCAGTGGGCCTGTCCTCATGCTGACACACCACTGTTCTCTGTTCTTGCAGCAGCAAGGCAGCATTCAAGCACTATGGATGAAGCTTATGCTAGCAGCCTGTCAGGAGCCTGAGGGCCCAGCTCATCATCCAGGAACAGAGGGAGCCAGGCTGCCGGCTTGTTCTGAGGCTCAACACACACTCCTGGTGTGTTGTCAGAGCAATTAGAATCAGTCAGACCCTTTCTGAGTTCAGTTGCCCAGAGACATAAAAAGGTCACCCTGGTCCATTAAGAGCCCATTTCTCCCAGACCCTCTTCCTCTCAGACCCACCCAGATGAGCAAATAAGGAACCATTAGGCCTCGTATTTCCTCAAAAGTCATTTTCCATCTGCAAGGTTGGATCCTCACAAACTAACACAGCTCATCCTACAAGGCGGGCCTTCCAGACAATGTGTTTGTGGGTGAGTGACGAATGCCATCCTCATCCTATCCCTGGAAAAGTACAGGATGTTGGAGAAAAGATTTTAAGCAGGGGCCGGATCCAAAGCTTGTCATCCCAGTGAGGAGTGTGAGTTTTCACCTGCTGGCAGCAGGGTACCATTAAAAGATTTAGTTAAGCTGCCTGTGGGAAGTGAGGGAGGTAGGGAGGTCAGACTGGTCTCCCATCTCTGTGCCAAAGACCTTCTGAAATGAAACAACTTTATTTGGCTCTAATTTAATAAAATTCCCTTCACTCCAAAAAACACATGGCTTACATTTCAGTAACTCTTTATCTTCATTCATTTAACAGATATGTATCAGGTTCCTGGTTGGTGCCAAGTATAGTGCTAGGACGTGCAAAAGGAAATGAGGCAGACATGGCCCAACCTTCACCACGTTCATAGCTTGTTGAAGAATTCAGACAAGACAAAACACTTGTAATAGAAGCACTCGCAATGGAGGACTGTGTGATTGAAGAGGCACAGGATGTAAATGAACATGAGGGGTACACTGGATCCAGGCTTTGAAGAGTCATAGAAGAATTACCTGTGGAAGTCATGCCTAAGTTGAAGCCTGCAAGATAAGGGCAAACACAGGCTAAGAAAATTAGAGTGGGAAAGACAGGGAAGAGAAGAGTGCTGCGGGCAGAGGGACCAAAGGCAAACAAAACGGAGCATTGTGACTGGTTTATCAAGACTGGGGTCCAGTGTGGGCTTTGAGTTGGGGGATGGCATAAGAGGGGAGGCTTGGGGGGTCAGCAGGGGCCAGATCCAAAGCTTGTCATCCCAGTGAGGAGTTTGACTTTTCACCTGCTGGCAGCAGGGTACCATTAAAAGATTTTAAGCAGGACCCAACAGGATGAGATTCACATTTTAGAAACAGTTTAGCGGGGAGCAGTGATGGGGGCAGGCATAAGGAGATAAGGAAAACATCAGGAAACTATTGTCATCTACACAAGGAATGACTGAGCTGAATCAAGTTAGTGGCAGTGGAGTTTTGGAAAAGTAGATAGATTTTAGAAATATGTATGAGGTAGAATTAACAAGAGTGATGGATTAACACTGGGAGCGGAGGTGCAAGAGAGAGAGGTAAGAGTTCAGCAAGATGCTTTTACTAAGGGAATGTTGGTGGCATTTGGTAAGACAGGAACCATAAGAGGAGACAGAGGTCCATAGCAGGTGTGTAAGTTTTCAATTATTAACTTAGTTAAGCTGCCTGTGGGAAGTGAGGGAGGGTGGGAGGTCAGACTGGTCTCCCATCTCTGTGCCCATTCTCACTTGTGAGGTGGTAGATGCCAAGGAGGATATAAAATAGAGAAGCTGAGGCATGGCATGAAAAGAGGATTTTCCTCAAGAACTCACAGGAAGTCCATGATTGGGTCCCCAGTTTCTGACCCAAAGTTCCAACCATCTGACCTGGCATCCTTTATAAGGGAACCTCTGACTTTACAATAAATGCAGGTAGTTTTTGGCACAGGTCCAGAGTCCCCCAGGCTAGAGACATATTTTAAATAAGCCAAATAGATTAGTAAGTCATGTGGAAGTACAAAGGCTATTGAGGCCAGCTTATTTCCTTCAGGCTTGATATGTGCCAAAGATTCTCCTTGCTTAGGAGAAAGGCGACATCTGAAGGCTGATATCACAAACCCCTGGAGGCTGCATTCAGACCACCTGCCACCTCCCTCTATCTCTGGTGCCCTCCTGTTGAGGATGCAGACTATCTAGCCCTTTGAATCCCTCCTCCTGTTATTGATGCTGGCTCGTCCTTTAGATGTGATTCTTTGCCTCTGACCCCTCTTCCTTTCTCTTGTCACCTGTATGCCATGCAAATCAGCAGAAGTCTGCTTCCTCAACAACTTGACATGTGCTGTGCCTCCTCCAGCCCCTGGTCCTGGTGGAGGGCAGCTAACAGATCCTCTAGGACACTGAAACCACCCTGCCCTTTAAACTTACAAATGCTGGATAATAAGGCTGTGATTTTGTTAAGGAACCCTTGTTCCGCACAAGCATGTTATGCTGTAGAATCAATGCTTTCCTTATAGAGCTGGAAATGTAAATGGAGAGAGAGTAAAATGACTGTGTCAGTAAAATGCTCCCAAGGATCTAAATATGAATGGGCATTAAATATTTAATCTCATCTTTAACCCTTGAGGCAAAGGCCCAGAGTAGACCTGACTCATTCCACTAGCAAAATTCCACATGGTTCTCCCATGTTAATTTCCCTCACATGGATAGTTTAGCCTCACTATCAAAATATGCCCTTTAGTCTTCCCACTTCCCACTGTTTTCTTTATGAAAACAGACTTGCCCTACCCCACCCACAACATCCTTTGTCCCCACCTTTTTTCTAGTGAACCTTTCCATCTCACTTTCAAACATTAGTAGTTTTATGTTAGCCCCATGTTTTTTATTAAACAAACAGTCACAATAAAAATGACAACAAACAACATCTATTGAGTGCATACTATGCACCAGGCCCTGATGGATGCTTTAGGAGCTTTATAAATGTGATTTCATGTAAACTTCATAAAACTCTATGAGGAAGGTTTTATTATTCCTGTTACATAGATAGAAAACTGAGGCTCAGAGAATAATTGGCCCAAATCATATTGTGTGTAACTAGAAAACCTGGGATTCAAACCAGGTCTCTCTGACCATAAAGTCCATGCTCACCCACAGTGCTATGATGGTTCTTTAATTTAAAAAAAAAATAACTGAAATTCACTGTAGAACTCAATGAAATTCTGATGTACTTTTTATGCATCAGTGATCCTGATCTTGCCTTTAATTCTCCCCAAGATCACATGGTCACTGCAAGGCAAACCAGTCCATTTCCCAAAATACAGAGAGGAAAATATGTTGAGCATCTTGTAGGTGCCAGGGGCCTTTAAGTATTTTATCTCATTGAATCCTCACAACTGCATGAATGGTAGGTATCATTACAATAAGTTCTCCAATAGGGAGTTTTAGGTAACCTTAGATAACTTATAACATTTGCCACAGACCAAGTGAGGTGTAACATAGAGTTGATCTGCATTATTCTGACTTCCAAGCTCAAGCAATTTCTTCCTCCTAATCCTAATTGTCACCACACGTAGAAATCAGAGACACTTCCCTCGTCATTAATTTCTGTGAGATATCTGACATAAAGGTCAGCAACATGTTCCCAGGCAATACCTTCTAGCTCCCTGAGGTGATCCTACCAAAACCTTGATAACTCCTGACTTTGTCCCTCATTTCTATCTATTTGAAGAGGCACACATTTCTTGAGGGCCTGGAGTTGTATCTGTCTAAAATTAGAGGTAATGCTCAGAGTATTACTTCCAATGTGGCCCGTTAAGTAATATACTAACCTCCCTCAGAAAACAACTGTAAACTTAGGACAAAATCCAAAAACAATAAAAAAAAAAAAAAACCTGAAAGCTCTTAAGACTAAAAACCAAATGCAAACATATTCTGGATGAGTGTAAGGACTTTAAAGAAGAAAACTGCATGGAGTTTCCCATTTACAACTTTAAGAATGGGCCAGAATTTCATAAGATAATTAAAACTCAAATAGACCAAAAAAAATAGTCTTTCTGTCCAAAAAAAAAAAAAAAACAAAGACCAGAGTTTATTACAACTACAGCCACTAGAAAGTAAAAAAACAGAGAACCAGATAGAACCCCAGATTCTGTGTACAAACTCTACCCCACCCATATCTCTGGCTCACTGAACCATGAAGTGCCAGAAAGACTCAAAATCAGCTAAGGAGAAAAGAGCTGAAATGTAAGCTGTTGGCCAAGAAACAGGATTTGCAGTTTAAATCTAAACAAATTAACTGGTAAAACAAAAAGTCAACATTCTTCAAGGTTATATAACTAAATCTGGAGTCTTCACAACAAAATAGCCATAATGCTGGGGGTAAAGTCAAAATTATTTCACATTTAAATAACTATTAAAAGCTGAAGAATCTTGAGGAAAGATAACAGAGAGTAATAAGTTGGCTCACACACTGGAATCAGCAGAGAAGAATTTTATTTTTTTATTTTTATTTTTTTATTATTTATTTATTTTTTTTTTTTTTTTTTTTTTTTTTTGAGACGGAGTCTCGCTCTGTCACCCAGGCTGGAGTGCAGTGGTGTGATCTCGGCTCACTGCAAGCTCTGCCTCCTGGGTTCACACCATTCTCCTGCCTCAGCCTCCAGAGTAGCTGGGACTACAGGCGCCCGCCATCACGCCCGGCTAAGTTTTTGTATTTTTAGTAGAGACAGGGTTTCACCGTGTTAGCCAGGTTGGTCTCGATCTCCTGACCTCGTGATCTGCCTGCCTTGGTCTCCCAAAGTGCTGGGATTACAGGCGTGACCCAAGCAGAGAAGAATTTTAAAGCAGCTATTTATTACAGCTATCCTCTTTAATGTAAAGTAAAATGTGCTCACAATAAATAAAAGATAGAAAATATCGACAGAGAAACTTTTGTAAAACTAGAAATGCTATGATGTAAAAATGCAATACCTGAAATTAAAAATTCACAGGATGGGCTTAAGAGCAAAATAGAGGTAACACATGAAAGAGTAAGGGAAGTTGGAAACAGATCAATAAAAATTATTCAGTTTGAAGACTGGGTGAAAAAAAAGGTGATCAAAAAATGAGCAAGACCTTAGAGCTGAGAGTAATGTCAAAACATCTAATATATGCATTACTAGAGTTTCAGAATAAGAGGGGAGAAGAGGGTAGGAGCAAAAATATAAAGAAACAATAACCAAAATTTTCCCAAATGTGAGGATAAACATAAATTTCCAGATTTAAGAATCTTAGGAAGCTCAAGTAAGATAATTATGAAGACAAACATGCCTAGGCATACCATAATCAAATTGCTTTTAAAAAGGGAGGGAGAGAAAGAAAATTTTGCAAGTAGAGCAAAATAACACATTACACACAAAGGAAGAAAAAATAAGAACTACTATAGACTTCCTGTTGGAAAATTTGCGAGCCAAACTTTAACGGAATAACATCTTTGTGCTAGAGGTAGAACTGTTAGCTCAGAATTCTATATCAGTAAAATTATCCTTTAAGAATGAGGCAAAAATGAGGGGCGGTTCCAAGATGGCCAAATAGGAACAGCTCCAGCCTACAGCTCCCAGCATGAGCGACGCAGAAGATGGGTGATTTCTGCATTTCCAACTGAGGTACCGGGTTCATCTCACTGGGGCTTGTCGGACAGTTGGTGCAGGACAGTGGGTGCAGCCCACTGAGCGTGAGCCAAAGCAGGGCAAGGCATCGCCTCACTCGGGAAGCACAAGGGGTCAGGGAATTCCCTTTCATAGCCAAGCAAAGCTGTGACAGACGGCACCTGGAAAATTGGGTCACTCCCACCCTAATACTGCACTTTTCCGATGGTCTTAGCAAACAGCACACCAGGAGATTATATCCCACACATGGCTTGGAGGGTCCCACACCCATGGAGCCTCACTCATTGCTAGCACAGCAGAGATTGAACTGCAAGGCAGCAGCAAGGCTGGGGGAGGGGCGACTGCTGAGGCTTGAGTAGGTAAACAAAGCGGTGGGGAAGCTTGAACTGGGTGGAGCCCACCACAGCTCAAGGAGGCCTGCCTGCCTCTGTAGACTCCACCTCTAGGGGCAGGGCATAGCTGAACAAAAGGCAGCAGAAACCTCTGCAGAATTAAATGTCCCTGTCTAAACAGCTTTGAAGAGAGTAGTGGTTCCTTCAGCACACAGCTTGAGCTCTGAGAATGGACAGACTTGCTCCTCAAGTGGGTCCCTGACCCCCAAGTAGCCTATCTGGGAGGCACGCCCAGTAAGGGAAGACTGACACCTCACACGGCCAGGTACCCCTCTGAGACAAAACCTCCAGAGGAACGATCCGACAGCAACATTTGCTGTTCAGCAATATTCGCTGTTCTGCAGCCTCTGCTGATGATACCTAGGCAAACAGCGTCTGGAGTGGACCTCCAGCAAACTCCAACAGACCTGCAGCTGAGGGTCCTCACTGTTAAAAGGAAAACTAACAAACAGAAAGGACATCCACACCAAAACCCCATCTGTACATCGCCATCATCAAAGACCAAATGCAGATAAAACCACAAAGATAGGGAAAAAACAGAACAGAAAAACTGAAAATTCTAAAAATCAAAGCACCTCTCCTCCTCCAAAGGAACGCAGCTCCTCACCAGCAATGGAACAAAGCTGGATGGAGAATGACTTTCGTGAGTTGAGAGAAGAAGGCTTCAGATAATCAAACTTCTCTGAGCTAAAGGAGGAAGTTTGAACCCATCGCAAAGAAGCTAAAAACCTTGAAAAAAGATTAGACAAATGGCTAACTAGAATAACCAATGAAGAGAAGTCCTTAAAGGACCTGATGGAGCTGAAAACCACGGCACGAAAACTACATGACGAATGCACAAGATTCAGTAGGCAATTCCATCAGCTGGAAGAAAGCGTATCAGTGATTGAAGATCAAATCAATGAAATGAAGCGAGAAAAGAAGTATAGGGAAAAAAGAATAAAAAGAAAAGAACAAAACCTCCAAGAAATATGCGACCATGTGAAAAGACCAAATCTACGTCTGATTGGTGTACCTGAAAGTGATGGGGAGAATGGAACCAAGTTGGAAAATATTCTGCAGGATATTATCCAGGAGAACTTCCCCAATCTAGCAAGGCAGGCCAACATTCAAATTCAGGAAATACAGAGAACACCACAAAGATACTCCTCGAGAAGAACAACTTCAAGACACATAATTGTCAGATTCACCAAAGTTGAAATGAAGGAAAAAATGTTAAGGGCAGCCAGAGAGAAAGGTCGGGTTACCCACAAAGGGAAGCCCATCAGACTAACAGCTGATCTCTTGGCAGACACTCTACAAGCCAGAAGAGAGTGGGGGCCAATATTCAACATTCTTAAAGAAAAGAATTTTTGACCCAGTATTTCATATCTGCCAAACTAAGCTTCATAAGTGAAGGAGAAATAAAATACTTTACAGACAAGCAAATGCTGAGAGATTTTGTCACCACCAGGCCTGCCCTAAAAGAGCTCCTGAAGGAAGCACTAAACATGGAAAGGAACAACCGGTACCAGCCATTGCAAAAACATGACAAATTGTAAAGCTCATCGATGCTAGGAAGAAACTGCATCAACTAATGAGCAAAACAACCGGCTAATATCATAATGACAGGATCAAATTCACACATAACAATATTAACCTTAAATGTAAATGGGCTAACTGCTCCAATTAAAAGACAAAGACTGGCAAACTGGATAAAGAGTCAAGACCCATCAGTGTGCTATATTCAGGAAACCCATCTCACATGCAGAGACACAGATAGGCTCAAAATAAAGGGATGGAGGAAGATCTACCAAGCAAATGGAAAACAGAAAAGGCAGGGGTTGCAATCCTAGTCTCTGATAAAACAGACTTTAAACCAACAAAGATCAAAAGAGACAAAGAAAACCATTACATAATGCTAAAGGGATCAATTCAACAAGAAGAGCTAACTATCCTAAATATATATGCACCCAATACAGGAGCACCCAGATTCATAAAGCAAGTCCTTAGAGACCTACAAAGAGACTTGGACTCCCACACAATAATAATGGGAGACTTTAACACCCCACTGTCAATATTAGACAGATCCATGAGACAGAAAGTTAACAAGGATATCCAGGAATTGAATTCGGCTCTGCACCAAGTGGACCTAATAGACATCTACAGAACTCTCCACCCCAAATCAACAGAATATAAATTCTTCTCAGCACCACACAGCACTTATTCCAAAATTGACCACATAGTTGGAAGTAAAGAACTCCTCAGCAAATGTAAAAGAACAGAAATTATAACAAACTGGCTCTCAGACCACAGTGCAATCAAACTAGAACTCAGGATTAAGAAACTCACTCAAAACCACTCAACTACATGGAAACTGAACAACCTGCTCCTGAATGACTGTGGGGTGCATAAAAAAATGAAGGCAGAAATAAAGATATTCTTTGAAACCAATGAGAACAAAGACATAACATACCAGAAGCTCTGGAACACATTTAAAGCAGTGTGTAGAGGGAAATTTATAGCACTAAATGCCCACAAGAGAAAGCAAGAGAAATCTAAAATTGACACCCAAACATCACAATTAAAAGAACTAGAGAAGCAAGAGCAAACACATTCAAAAGCTAGCAGAAGGCAAGAAATAACTAAGATCAGAACAGAACTGAAGGAAATAGAGACACAAAAAAACCCTTCAAAAAAATCAATGAATCCAGGAGCTGGTGTTTTGAAAAGATCAACAAAATTGACAGACTGCTAGCAAGACTAATAAAGAAGAAAAGAGAGAAGAATCAAATAGACACAATAAAAAATGATAAAGGGGATATCACCACCGATCCCACAGAAATACAAACTACCATCAGAGAATAGTAAAAACACCTCTATGCAAATTAACTAGAAAATCTAGAAGAAATGGATAAATTCCTCGACACATACACTCTCCCAAGACTAAACCAGGAGAAGTTGAATCTCTGAATAGACCAATAACAGGCTCTGAAATTGAGGCAATAATTAATAGCTTACCAACCAAAAAAAGTCCAGGACCAGATGGATTCACAGCTGAAATCTACCAGAGGTACAAGGAGGAACTGGTACCATTCCGTCTGAAACTATTCTAGTCAATAGAAAAAGAGGGAATCCTCCCTAACTCATTTTATGAGGCCAGCATCATCCTGATACCAAAGCCTGGCAGAGACACAACAAAAAAACAGAATTTTAGACCAATATCCCTGATGAACATTGATGCAAAAATCCTCAATGAAATACTGGCAAACTGAATCCAGCAGCACATCAAAAAGCTTATCCACCATTATCAAGTGGGCCTCATCCCTGGGATGCAAGGCTGGTTCAACATACAAAAATCAATAAACGTAATTCAGCATATAAACAGAACCAAAGACAAAAACCACATGATTATCTCAATAGATGCAGAAAAGGCCTTTGACAAAATTCAACAGCCCTTCATGCTAAAAACTCTCAATAAATTAGGTATTGATGGGACGTATCTCAAAATAATAAGAGCTATTTATGACAAACCCACAGCCAATATCATACTGAATGGGCAAAAACTGGAAGCATTCCCTTTCAAAACTAGCACAAGACAGGGATGCCCTCTTTCACCACTCCTATTCAACATAGTGTTGGAAGTTCTGGCCAGGGCAATCAGGCAGGAGAAAGAAATAAAGGGTATTCCATTAGCAAAAGACGAAGTCAAATTGTCCCTGTTTGCAGATGACATGATTGTATATCTAGAAAACCCCATCGTCTCAGCCCAAAATCTCCTTCAGCTGATAAGCAACTTCAGCAAAGTCTCAGGATACAAAATCAATGTGCAAAAATCACAAGCATTCTTATACACCAATAACAGACAAACAGAGAGCCAAATCATGAGTGAACTCCCATTCACAATTGCTTCAAAGAGAATAAAATACCTAGGAATCCAACTTACAAGGGATGTGAAGGACCTCTTCAAGGAGAACTACAAACCACTGCTCAAAGAAATAAAAGAGGACACAAACAAATGGAAGAACATTCCATGCTCATGGATAGGAAGAATCAATATCCTGAAAATGGCCATACAGCCCAAGGTAATTTATAGATTCAATGCCATCCCCATCAAGCTACCAATGACTTTCTTCACAGAATTGGAAAAAACTACTTTAAAGTTCATATGGAACCAAAAAAGAGCCCGCATTGCCAAGTCAATCCTAAGCCAAAAGAACAAAGCTGGAGGCATCATGCTACCTGACTTCAAACTACAGTACGAGGCTACAGTAACCAAAACAGCATGGTACTGGTACCAAAACAGAGATATAGACCAATGGATCAAAACAGAGGCCTCAGAAATAATACCACACATCTACAACTATCTGATCTTTGATAAACCTGACAAAAACAAGCAATGGGGAAAGGATTCCCTAGTTAATAAATGGTGCTGGGAAAACTGGCTAGCCATATGTAGAAAGCTGAAACTGGACCCCTTCCTTACACCTCATACAAAAATTAATTCAAGATGGATTAAAGACTTAAATGTTAGACCTAAAACCATAAAAATCCTAGAATAAAACCTAGGCAATACCATTCAGGACATAGGCATGGGCAAGGACTTCATGTCTAAAACACCAAAAGCAATGGCAACAAAAGCCAAAATTGACTAATGGGATCTCATTAAACTAAAAAGCTCCTGCACAGCAAAATAAACCGTCATCAGAGTGAACAGGCCACCTACAGAATGGGAGAAAATTTTTGCTATCTACTTATCTGACAAAGGGCTAATATCCACAATCTACAAAGAACTCAAACAAATTTACAAGAAAAAAAAAAAACAATCCCATCAACAAGTGGGCGAAGGATATGAACAGACACTTCTCAAAAGAAGACATTTATGCAGTCAAAAGACACATGAAAAAATGCTCATCATCACTGGCCATCAGAGAAATGCAAATCAAAACCACAATGAGATATCATCTCACACCAGTTAGAATGGCGATCATTCAAAAGTCAGGAAACAACAGGTGCTGGAGAGGATGTGGAGAAATAGGAACACTTTTACACTGTTGGTGGGACTATAAACTAGTTCAACTATTGTGGAAGTCAGTGTGGCGATTCCTCAGGGATCTAGAACTAGAAATACCATTTGACCCAGCCATCCCATTACTGGGTATATACCCAAAGGAATATAAATCATGCTACTATGAAGACACATGCACACGTATGTTTATTGCAGCACTACTCACAATAGCAAAGACTTGGAACCAACCCAAATGTCCAACAATGATAGACTGGATTAAGAAAATATGGCACATATACAGCATGGAATACTATGCAGCCATAAAAAATGATGAGTTCTTGTCCTTTGTAGGGACATGGATGAAGCTGGAAACCATCATTCTCAAGCAAACTATCACAAGGACAAAAAACCAAACACTGCATGTTCTCACTAAGAGGTGGGAATTGAACAATGAGAACACTTGGACACAGGAAGGGGAACATCACACACTGGGGCCTGTTGTGGTGTGGGGGGAAGCGGGAGGGATAGCATTAGGAGATATACCTAATGTAAATGCCAAGTTAATGGGTGCAGCACACCAACATGTCACATGGATACATATGTAACAAACCTGCACATTGTGCACATGTACCCTAGAACTTAAAGTATAATAAATATATATATGTAAAATAAATAAATAAATAAAAGAATGAGGCAAAATTAAAGAATTTTCAGATTTTCTAAAAGTGAGAACTCATCACCAGCAGATTCACACTACAAATAATAAATGCTCCTCATCCTGAAAGAAAATGATACCAGATAAGAGCTCAGATTCTTAGGAAGGAATGCAGAACATTGGAAATAGCATATATCTGAATATATATAAAATACTAGTTTTCTCTAAATTTTTATAAAATACATAGGACTATTTAAAGGAAACTTGTAACATTGTCTTATAGGGTCTATGTGGACTTAATACATATGACAACTATAGCCTAAAAGACCTCATTGAGGTTGAGGGAGATAAATGGGCCTATACACTTACAAAGTTTCATATTTTACATGAATTGGTATAATATTAACTCCTTGTTGACTATGAAAAGTGAAGGATGTATATTGCAGTCCTTAGAATAACCACTAAAAATGCAAAAAAAGTAATTTAATAAAGTAGAATTGTAAAAAGTATTTAGTCTAAAAGGAGACAGGAAAGGAGAAATAAAGGAACAACAAAGTGTGCAAAAAAATCCAATAAAATGGCAGATGAAAATCCAAAAATATCAATAATTACATTAAACATTAATGAACTAAACACTCCAAAAAAAGTCAGATTGTAAGAATAAATTTAAAAGCAAGACTCAACTACATGCTGCCTACAAGAGATGCACTTTAAAAATAAATGAACAGATAAAAGTAAATTAATGGAAATATATATACTAGGCAAACTAAAAAATAAGGTGGCCAGGGATATTTTCATATCAGATAAAATAAGCTTTCAAGATAGAAAGTAACATTAAAGAAGGACACTTCAAAATGATAAATGGATCATCTTATCAAGAAGACATAACAATCATCAATGTGGCATGTGCCTAATAATAAGCTACAACCAAATAAAGCAAACATTTACAGAATTAAAAGAAACAGACAATTCTGCAATCATAGCAGGAGATTTTAGCACCCATCTTCCAAAAATTTATAGAATGCTTAGACAAAAATCAGTAAAGACATAGTGATCCAAACCATACTTTCAACCACCTTAAACTACAACTGTAGAATATACATTTTTCAGGTGTACATGATATTTTCATCAAGATAGACCATATGCTGGATCTCAACAGTTTTAATAAATGTAAAAAGACTGAAAAAATAATACTCAGCACTCTGTGGAACCTGAAATGAGATCAGGTGATTTAGTTTTGTTCTCTGCTATATCTGTTGATTAGTTAAGGTTCTCCAGAGAAATACGTGAATGTGTGTGTAGGTGTGTGTGTGTGTGCATACACATACATAAACATATATAATATCTATCATATACCATCATATATACCACATACATATGTAAAATATACTTATTATATATATATATATATATGTGAGTTTTATTTTAAGGAATTAGCTCATGCAATGGTGAAGACTGGCAAATTAGAAATCTGTGGGACAAATTAACAGAATGAAAACTCAAGTAGAAGTTTCAAGCTGTAGTTTTGAAGCAGAATTTCTTCTCTGGGAAACCTGTTTTTGCTCTTAACATTGTCAACTGATAAACGAAATTATCAAGTATAATCTCCTTTACTTGAAGTAAACTGAACATAGATATCAACTACATATACAAAATACTTTCACGAGAATACTTAGATTAGTATTTCAGTAAGTAGTCGGGTACCATAGCCTAGCCAATTGACACATGAAATTAATTCATCAAAATCTCCAAAGCCAATAACATTGACTGATAGTTTTCAAAAACATTTGTTGACTAATAAATAGATAATTATGAGATCACAAGACCAAAATATGAAGGCATAAAACCACCTTAGAGACTATCTGTGTCAGAATTCTAAAGCTCAGAGATTCTCCATGCTGCATCCCCCATACCATCTATATCTAAGGCTGGGGTGTAAAGTAAGAAATGGTTTTCAACAAGCATGCTAGGGCCACCACAACTAATCCCACTGCCCTGCAAGCATCTCCAGATGATTTTGATGCAGTTGGTCCACAGGTCACAGCCTGAAAAACTCTAAGACCGTCAGCTGATCAACTACAATAATATTCTCTCCAGCATTCCAGACAATGGCTTTCCAACCCCTTTAAGGACTGGGGTTTACTACCTACTCAAGCAGTCCATTTGTCTTCAGTCAGATGACTATTAAAAAGTTCTTTCATATACTGGGTCCAAACAGGACTTTCTGAACTTTCTGGCTATTGTTACCAGTTCTCTTTTGTGCAGCTCAGAGTATTTCGAGGCCAATGGCCTGAGCTACAAGTGATTGAAAGGGCAACTTAGGTTCAGGTGATTCCTCGAAAGATTTGGTCCACATGACTGCTCACTCACCGGTAAAAGGGCTTAATGTAAGCCAGCTATATTGCTGACTGTGCAAGGATGTGGGGTTGTCTGAGAATAGCCTTCAATGGCACTGACTGACTAGGAGAGCCTCAAGAATACTTTATAAAGCCCATGGTTGCGCAGTGAATCTGGGAACCTGATAAGAAAATAGGTTGCTACGGTTCTGCTTATTAGAGTGGACTCCTAGACCTAATGAAAATGCTAAATTATAAATCCAGAATAAGAACTGGAATAAAGTTCTCTAGAATTACTAGAAACAGCAAAAGAAAACTGGATGAAGACAATATTGGAGCTTTTCTACTTTAGCTGACAAGCTGGTATATGGGGACTCTTTGATACTCTAAGGAAATTATTTAATAATTCATGAATTCATTCATTTACTAAATATTAATTACATGCTTATTGTGTACCAGGCACTGTACTGGATACTGAGAAAAAAGTGGTAAACAAAACTAACATGGTCTCTACTCTCCTGGAATTAAAAGTCTAGTGAGGGATGACACAGTAAACCATAAAGAAAATATTAAACGTAAGTATGTTATAAAATATTAAGTGTGTAATAAAAGAAACAAACAAGGTGTGTTTGTATAGAGAATAACAAGGCAGGCCTTGGTGTTCGGGGGGAGGTTTTTCTAAGGGGATAGAGCTTATATTAGATCGGAGGACAAACAAATTTATGGAGTACTCTAGGCACAGCCCTATGGAACAACATGTGCAAAGGCTGAGAGGCAGGAAAGGCCTTTGCACACACAAGAACCTGAAAGGATGCCCATGTAGTGGGAGCATGAGTGAAAGGAGACTGTGGTTCAAGATGAGGCTGCAGAGATCAACAGGACTCTGCAGTCACAGTAAATATTTGAGGAGCAAATCATTAAAGGACAAAAAGCAGACCATGGCACAATTCAGTTCATGTTTAAGGGAATTGGTCTGCCCATAGTTAGAGAATGAATAGAAGGGGGCAAGATTAGAAGTAAATCATTTAATAAGTAATTGCCCAAATGGCAAATATAGGTCATAAGAATTAGGGTAGCTGGGGGAGAATTTGAAAAAAGCAGACTGATTCAAAATACAGTATACACAGGAGTTTGACTTAGTATATTCCGTGAGGGAAGGAACAATGTGTGTTTTGCTTAGCAGACTTATCTTCAGTTCTTAGTACAGTGTTTGGTGTGTAAATAGCAATATAGTTGCTCCTCATTATTTACAGACTCCATATTTATGAATTTGCTTATTCCCTAAAATTTGTAACCCCAAAATCAATGCTTATGGCACTTTTGCCATTGTTTGCAGAAATGCACTTGCAAAAACAGGTGAAGAGTTTGAGTCATGGACGTTCCTGGCTGAGGTCAAACAAGAGCACATTCTGCCTTCTTGTTTCTAGTTTTATATTTTCAGCAAGTGTCCTTTTTGCTGCCTGGTTAGTGCCACGTTTGGTCATATTTTTGTGCTTTGTGTTGGTGCTTTTGCTGTACAAAATGCCCCCCAGGCCTAGTGCTGAAGTGCTATGTAGTGTTCCTGAGTGCAAGAAAGCTGTGGTGTGACTTATGGAGAAAATTTGTGTGTTAGGTGAGCCTCATTCCAGTATGAGCCAGTGCTGTTGGCTGTGAATTCAATATTAACGAATCAACTATATATACACATATATATTCAAGAAGGTGTCTTTAAACAGAAACACACCTAAAATGTATTGGTCAGTCGATGTAAACATTGTAACCAGAGGCTCAAAGGCACCTAACCTGTGTTTTCTTTAAGAGCAATGGTTCAGTATTCGCTAAATCAGTGTTCACAGTGACTTTATAGAATATAATTGCCACACACAATGAACATCAACTCTAACTGCTAATTGAACAAATGAATTAATGTGATAGATGTGGCAGATTTTGTCAATGAACTGAGGGCTTTAGACTTGAGCAACTGCATTGAAGGTGCCATCATCTATGGAGACATGATATTCTGGGAAAGAAACAGGTTTGGGAGGAAAAGAGAAAATGCTATTTTTCCATGTTTCTTTAGAGACGCCTATGAGATATCCAAGTAGAGATGTCAAGTAGCCAGTTAGATAGATATGAGTCTGAATCTCAGAGGATATTTCTGGACTGGAGACATAAATTGGTAAGTCATCAGCATACAGATGATGCTTAAAGCCACAGGGGATAGAGGAGGTCACCTAGGAAATAAGCGTAGGGAGAGATGAAAACAGGACCCAGAACTAAGCCCTAGAGCACACCCACACTCAGAGAGCCAGCATAGAGGACCCAGCAAAGGAGACTGCAGGTGAGAAGAGGACAGCCAGGAAATGTGTGGAGCCACAGAAGCCAAGGGAGGCCTGTGCTGAGAATAACAGCCTTCAGCCTTAGAGAATGTGGCTGAGAGGCTATGGAAGATAAGGCTGAAAGTTGCCCTTGGATGGTACAATGAAATTGTCAGTGACCTTGGGCTACTACTTTTAGGGCAAAAGAGTGAACTAAGGAATGATTGAGAAGATGAGAAAATAAAAGCAGCACACTTTGACAACTTCTAGAAGAAGTTTTATGTTGAAGGGTAGCAGAGAATTGAGTCATTGGCTGGAGAGAGACAAGGAGTCATGAGAAGGTTTTGCTTTTTGATTTTAACTTGGAAAATACTACCACATGCGTTCAAACTGAGGAATAATGCAGTAAGAAAGGGGGAGATTAATCATGATGAAGAGAGAAGAAAATTAGACTTTACAGTAGTAAGAAAGAATGGGATCCTGGACATGTTTGAAGGAACTAGTCTTTGTTAAGAGGAGAGACCACCACAGTTGAATTCATGTGTGCTCAAGTACACACACACACACACACACACACACACACACACAGTATCTCTGCAACTGATAACATAAGCTAAGTGTAAGACTCTTCAAGTATTCCTATTACCTTCTTGATTTTAACCAAAGTTCCAACAGGTACAGATATTTTTGAAACTCGTTTCTAGTCTTCCTACATTTGCATTTCTTTTTTCTCATGTTTCAATCTTCAGACTTTTGCCCTTGATTTTGTATGTACTTGCCCTTCTGGGGTTCTTCTAAGTCTCTTTCTGACTCTCAACTCTTTCTAGAGACTTATTTTCTGTTTCCTTCTCCCAGCTTCTAAAAATGTGAGTCATGTCTTTTTTCCACCAGAAGTGCTGCCTGAGGCTAAAAAACTGATCTGGTATAGCTCCAGCCCTCCTGCCTCACTGCCCCTAATGGGCAAAGTCCCCTGGGCAGCCATGACCCCCAGGAAGTGCAAGGCTCAGCATAGCAAGGGCTACAGTTTCATTAGAAACTGTTTCCGGCAGTTTTATGCTCGTCAATTTTCACTGATGTTCAAAATTTTTTTGCAGCATGACTGTGCTAACATTTTTAGGTTTCCATAGCCCAGGGATATCCTCTCTTGATCTACCACAACACATGACAACCATAGACCTGCTGTGTGCTCTGCTAGCCATTTTAAACACACTGCCTCATTTATTCTTCATAACACCCTGTGAAGCAGGTATCATCATTCCCATTTTATGGATTAGGAAAGTGAGACTCAGGAGTCACATGGCTAATAAGCCAGGAGACCCAGATTTGGACTCATGTAAAACTCCAAAACCTGAAGCCTTTCCTTTTTGGCCAGGATGCAAAGTGGCAGCAGAGTTCACTTGTCACATCCTTTCGGCCGCCACTTAATTCCACGTATGTTCCAGCTCCTCAAGTCTACAGAGACTGCCTTGGAGAAAAATACCAACTCAGATCAACTCATGACCCACCTAGTTCAATGCCTGACCCAGTAAATGACTGCCTGTGGCCCCCACCAGAGGCCCTGGTTGTACTTCTGCTATCTGAGAAACCATGGCACACTGCTACTTTAACCCTCATGTTCAATCTGAATAATAGAAATAAGAGGAAGGTAGAACTTTTTTTTAAGTCGCTGGCAAATTCTTTGGCAGGTGGTGAAAACTAATGTTATAGAAGAGGCCCAGTCTAAGTAAAAATTAGTAATTTTAATTATGAGCTTCAGAGCAAGGAAAATATAACACAACCATGAGTGGACAGGGGGCTGCTGTGGGTTAGAACACAGCCTGCTCAAGCACACATGCAGGTGGTAGAGAGGGATGTCCTGCTGTTCTAGATGCTAAAAAAAAGAGACCAGCAAGACCCAAGGCACGAAGAGAAGACAGCTTTACACAAAGGAGAGAAGCAGAAGAGAGCTCTGGAGTAAGACAGGGACCCTGAGAATGAACTGGGGTGTTCACGAGGACACTCAGCTTGCTGGTGGTGTGAGCCAGGTTGAAGCAGCAGCCAGATAGATACAAGATAAAGGAAATAAGAGAAAGGAAACATACAGAAGCAGACTAAGAAGGGGTGATAACAAATATTAGAGCAGGTACCAATCTTATTCTACTGATAACTTTCTTTTTTAATCAGGAATATAGAGCTAGGTTGCTATGAATCAATTTATACTTTATGCTATTTTAGTAAAGAGGGCTCTGACTTTTTTTTAAAGCAGATGTGATTTGATTATGTGCTAATCTCTGCCCAATTAATAGCATTATTCAGACTGTCTCCAAAGTGCATCAAAACAACTAGTTAAAAAGGAAGAATGAAGTCAAATCCATTTTTGGCACCAGGTATATATGATAGGAGCATACCTGGAAACACAAGTTCGTAACCTCTTTGTGACATTCAAACCAACTTGTGTGTGTAGGCACAGCCCCCGAACAATGTGACAGCCAGATCAGATTTTCAAATCCAGTTTCTCCCAGACCCTTCATCCTCCACAGAGGCAAAAGAAGATTTGGTGGTAAAGTTTGTCTAATTATTGGCAAAAAATGTGGGAGTAAAAACCCACACCTCGATCCAAATGCTTCATCGCCCTTTCAAACAAGTTTTCTGAACAAAGAATCTTATAATGTGCAGCTGTACAAGGCAGAGGGGGTAAGAGCAATACAAAACTCACAAAACTATGGGCACTGCACACATGCACACACACGTGTGATGCATTAAACAAGCATGTACACATACACAGAGCACACGGCATGTCAGGGCACGACTGTGCTAATGCAGGGTTTGGGGAAGAAGTTAAATCTAACCCTAGGAAATGAAATGTTTAAAATTCCTTAATTTTAAAGGTTCTTGATATAATTGTTAATGAAATCACATGTGCCACAGCAAGATCATTATCATAACTATTACTGCTAATATTAATAACAAAAACTGGTATTTGCATAACACTTTACATAAATTACATCACTGGTCTTTGAAAGGTATTTTGATAACATTTCAAACAAATAACCAAGGGACAGGGAACAAAAAGAACAAGGCTTTATATCAGGGGCTCCCAGGCTTTCTGTCACCAAGGACCTCCTCTATTCTTTTTCCTCTAAGGTTTCCTATTTTTAATGTTTTTGTCTCATTGACAACCTTTATTAAAGAATTCTCCATTCCCCTATGTTTATTCATCAAAGAACAATCAGTATGCAATAATCCGCATTACCTCACTGAGCTAATATAATTCCACGAACTTGGTGTTTGAGTTACCCTCTGAAGCCTTATTATCAGTAAATCCATTTCAGTTCAGTTTTTAAATATACAGAACATTTCTTTAAGGTCTCCGCTACCTCCTTAAAGGACTTCTAGGAGTCCTAGGGCCCTGGGCAATAAAGCACTAATTGAAATCTCAAATAATATTTTTTTGTTTTTGTTTTTGAGATGGAGTCTCACTCTGTTGCCCAGACTGGAGTGCAGTGGTGCCATCTCAGCTCACTGCAACCTCTGCTTCCTGGGTTCAAGTGATTCTCCTGCCTCAGCCTCCTGAGTAGCTGGGATTACAGGTGTATGCCACCGTGTCCAGCTGATTTTTGTATTTTTAGTAGAGATGGGGTTTCACCATGTTGCCCAGGCTGGTCTCGAACTCCAACCTCAAGTAATTGGCCTGCCTCAGCCTCCCAATCAAATAATTTTTTTTCCATTATTTTTAAATTCAGTATGTGCTAATAAAGGAAGAGTATTTAAATTTTTTTAAAGAGAACTTGGAAGTCTCTTTAGTCAGACATCACAAAGCAATTATTTGAGGGCACACACACACAAGAAGGAAGGCAAACAACTAACAACTGCCAACACCATTGCCTCACCAGAAACACGTTCCATGAGCATGGCAAAGCCACCGCAAGGGCTATCCAGAAAATTATGTGTGATGGCTCTGATGTCAATGTGCCTGGTGTCCCATCCTGGCTGTCACTTGTTAGCTAAATGCATGGAAAAGAATCTAAACTTCTCGGTGCCTCAATTTTTTTCACCTGGAACATAGGATCATAATAGGCCGACTTGTTTAGAGCTATGTGGGACTTCTATGAGTAAATATACATAAAGAGCTTAACACAGTGCCTGACACATGACAAGTGAGCAATACATTTTAGCTATTACTATCATCATAAGTACCTAGTTGCAGGACCTGTGGCTGGTTCCTAACCTTTTTCAAGCCCACAAAAAGAAAATCTGAACATCCATGAAATCTGTTTTTGTTGAATCTCTTATTCCCAAAATTGTTAGAATGTGCATAGCTGCTTTGATCAAATCTGAAGTAGCATGCATAGAAGTTAGGGATGAAGGCTATGAAGGCAGAATTCCCTTGGTTCAATAAACTTCTCTAGCTTTTACTAGCTAAGAAGAGCTGGATATAACCTCGGGTTTATCCATCAGTTTCCCCATTGATAAATGGGGATCATAACTAGCTCCTGGAGCAATGGAGATTTAATGAGATCATATATATAAAGTTATTAAGCACTTTATATAGTAAACCCCCTCCCTCTAAAACATTAGCTACCATGATTACTATCTGTTAACATACGAAAGTAATATTTGCTGAATCTTGTCCCTCATGCAAAATATAACACTTTTGAAATCCAAATACATTTTCATTTACTAAGGCAAAGCACTTAGATAAACTGACCTTGAAATGCAAAGCTAAAAAAAAGTTGCTAGATAATTTGTTCATCTGTCTTTTCCCCTTGCACACATTAACTGTGGCTTGATCTTGAACTATGTCAATATGCATCAACAGGGTCAACAGTTTTAACTAAGCTGTGTAGGTATTTCACTGGTTGCTTCAGCTAAAGGACTGATTAGTAATCAATTAGTAGCTGGTCAATTTAGTCAAAAGCATCAAACTAGTTCCCCACCCGCCCCTAATGTTTCTGTTATGTCCTAGGTCCTGCTAGAGGCCTATGGAGAGATGAAATTCATTGCAAAAGTGGTCATCCACCCCCTTGCTCCAGAGCTATCCCTAAGACTGTTCAGGTAGCTCACATGTCCAGTCCCTCCCCAGATCCCCTTCTGCCAAATTAAAATCTCTCCAAGTCAGAACTGACAGGGAGGGCCTTTTCCTTTCTTTAACCTGAAGCCTTGCTTCATGTTTCTATGGGAAAAACCAAACTCTACCTAAATAATAAAAAGTGGGAAAGTTTCCCCAGGAAGAGTGCCTCTTCCGCACCTTGATTAGCCAAGCAAAATGTAGACATAAAATGCAATTGCTTTTTTTTCCCAGATGCTAAAAATGTCAGCCTTGATTTACCCCAACACTCTGACTGACTCACTGCAGACATAAATCCTTCACGCCCAATGCAATCATTTTTTGACCTGTTCAGTGGCGGAGAGAGGGAGGGCTTCACATTTATCTTCCTGGTGCCAGCACTGCGATCCCAATAACTTTTCCTTCATCTTCCCCTTATAAGGAGCAAGAGCCAGAGAAGTAAAGGCAAAAACGTGCATGTTCATTATATTTTTTCTGAGATATGATGCAACAAGTGTTATTTTTTAAATGATTGAGAAGGAAGGGGAAGAGAAGAATAAAAAGTATTTTTATAGATCTATTTCCTCTCACCTGAAACACAACCTCACTTTGTCTCTGCTTCATCCATGATTAGGAAAATGCAGGAGTACCTTCCATTTGGGAAACAGCTGTCTTTCTACTATAAGGAGAAACCTGGTGCTTTTCTGCCTGGTACTGTCCCAGCACGGCACATGTGATATTCCTTGGATTGAGAGCAGAGTCATGATAATAGCCACTGCTGGTGGATGACCCAACACAGCCAGGTGGTCCATTGGTTTGGAAGTGTAGCCTCCAAAACTTTGGCATGTGAAGCACAACCCATTGAACAAACAGCTACCAGTTGGTTAATAGGAAAGACACAGGGTCTGACCTTGCGTCTGCCCCTTACTGAGAGCAGCTTTGGGCCAATCACTTCTTTCTCCATAATTAGGTCCCTGAATCTTTAAAATGGGGCCATGCATGCCTGTCCCTCACCTCTTTCTTCATAAGGACCTTGTATTTTTTAAATGCTTTGAGCTCTTCTGAAGCAGAGAGAGGTGCACATTTATAGTACTGTTTTTCCTGGTCTCCATGGTTATGAATCAGAAAAATGATGCCCATTTTTCCCCATAAGAAATGGTCTTTTCCCTTCCAAATTCACGAGGTGTGCAGAAGAGTCACTTCAACCTCCCACAGTGGCAGTGTGGCATTCTCCCTTCAGCCACTTGTCCATACCTCTCCCTGAGGATATCATGGCCACAAGTCCCTTTCCAAGGTACCACTTCTCTTTATTCCTGTCCCTTGCAAATGAGGTTTTTTGATCATCTTCCCCTTGCATTATGTTTCTAGACTAGAAGTTTCTTAATGGTAGAGAGTGTATTCCTATGACTGTCATATACTAGGTATGCAATATTGAGTTAATCAAATGGACTTTTGTCTTCCTGCAGCCTCAGTCATCTCACCCTTGGCAAAACAATCTTTCTAGAGCCAAATACTTGAGGGATCTCCCTTGGCACATAGCTTCCTGCATATCCTGACTCTCTTCTGGCTGTTCTCTTCCAACCTACAAAGATGTAAGGTGAATTTAATTCAGGACCACTGGAGAAGAGCAGAAGCAGATCCCTCCTATCTCTCCATGACCTCCTCAGCAAGCAGGCCATGTCCTCCAGCCCACTCCCTGTCCCACTGCCTGCCCATACATACTCCAGGAGAACAGTACCTGTTTACGGTCTCTTGGCTCTCTGGAGTGTGGAGTGCTCTCAGAGTTGAGAGGGGAAGACACTGGCATGCCATGAGCAGGACTGCCTTGGAGCCAACTCACAGCTGAGCTTCCTACCTGGTCTTCCAGGGAAGGTGGAGCTTCAAGAAGCTTGACCTCCTCATAGCACCAGCGTAAAGGGCAGTTAACTGTTTGGGCATCAAAATAGGCATTGTGTGAGTTGTTGTGTATCCCCAGACCAACGTGACAATAGAAACAAATTATTCCTAAGGTTGGGAAAGGTGACTGAGACTCATCAATTTCAAGCATATCTCTATGGTTGGGGTAGCCCTAACCAAAGACCCCTGCCTCATGTAGAGTGGGAGAAAGCCTTTTAGCAGCTCTGTAGGCTTTAGCTCAAATAATACCCCCATCCAAGCTCCATTCTGCACATCGAAGAGAAAAGGAAATAACTTAACACCAGCACTTTAAACGTTATGAGAACTGTGTGATATGCTCTGCTAGCCAGCCTCTGGCCTTGGAATCCATACATTATTTAATGGGAAGGAAGACACACCTTAAATGAGCCATAACAATTGCTTAAGGGAGATGGGAGTGGGGGGAGAGGAAGGATTGTGTGTGTATTTTTTTAATTTCTCAGACCATACCCATTAGTTTTGTTTCTTATTTAGGATACAGCAATAATCATGCTAATATTTTACAGCCGGGCTTCACTCTTTAGTCATTACTTTAATCAAACCCATCAGCGAACGAAGGAACACGTTACCAGGTGGGAATAACTGCTACCGCTCGCTGTTAATTACTTTGCATTTTACAGCAATCAGCAGCAAGGGCTGAGATCATAATAAATTCATGACTTATGGGCCCATAAAATCATTACCGTAGGAAAATATGTTTTACCGGGGATTCGATGGGCCGCTGCTCAGACAGAGATTTCTTGAAGGAAATGACACCCATGAAATTAAACTGATCCTTGCAGTCAGCAGAAATGTAAATGTACAAAGAGAGCAAAATTTTACCATGGGAGAAAGGGGCTGGCGGGAGCGGGACTGGGTGCTGGCTGAGTGTGGAGGGGGCATGGCCATGGGAGGGGCGGGGCCAATAGGTACCGCTGGGAAGAGGATGCAGAAGGAAGAGGCTCCCAGGCAGGAAAAGCCTTTAGAGAGAGCAGGGAAGGAAAGAGGCTCAGTGGCCTGTGGGTGATTCAGAGGTCCAGACGTCTGGGAGAGCAGTCGTTTTACTATATCATAGTCTCTAACCTCTCCCAGCTTTAGTTATTTCAGCCAGCTTTTTCCCATTGCCTTGGGTACTGTGACTTAGGTGGTCTCAGAGGCCCTGAGGATGTTGATGTTAAAGGCACAGGGACAAGTCCATAAATCAGCCCTGCCAGAGTCCAAGAAGGGAGGGAGGTTCACTCCTGTGTTTTCCCCACTGTTTTCAAGCAACCTAAGTAGGCTTTTTGATGGATAGCTGCACTTCTTCACTGAGGCAACCCTGCCCCTGGCTTCCAACGCCCACTGCCACCCCACACACATCTCCAGCCTCCTTGTGTAGGTCTCTGTGTCCTTAAAGGCCATCTGTGGACTATGGGAAATGCTCTCCAAGGAGAATACTTAAAACCCTGGTGTTTGTTTTATTGGGAGGTTTCTCTATCTTCAAATTTCTCCCGGGATGCATTCATGCCATTTGTTTAGAAGAAACTGTTTCCTTTTCCATTGCTTCTTCCAATTACACTAGACAAACACAGACCCTTATCTGGTGTTATTTAAGCATGAAATTATAACAGATCCTTTTAAATGCTAAAGCACTAAAAATAAGTCATTTTATCAAGACACACCAGTTCTAGATCTAGTAGCTCATTAATTTCTGTAAATCAGACAAGATGAAATTCAAACAAAATCTGAGAGCTTCCAGTGAAGGAGCATTCATTCTTTCTGAGATGATCACCATCCTTGTTCACCATGATCATTATTGTTCATGTTTCTAGGGGGTAGTGAGGGCTGTCCTCTCAACTTGGAAGACCATCCCAGCTGAGAGGAATCAGTGTCACCAGAAGGACCACAAGGAGACAAACATGAGTTGGAATCCTTCTTTTACCACTTCCTAGTGGTGGGTCTTAGGGAATTTACTTAACTTCCTGGACCTCAGTTATATATCCTGTAAAACAGAGAAAATTATACCTACCTTTAAATAAAGAATTGCTGTGGAAATGAAATGAGCTTACTATTCACATGTAGCACAAAATAAAACACTAAGCAGGCTTTCTGATGAAGTTGATTCACTTATTTGAAATTCTCTCCTCCACCACACCCCAAGGTCAGGCAAGGCAAAATAGCCAGCCTCCTAAAGGAAGTCAGAGAGGCTGGGGAGCTGGCTAGCACGAGTTGGCCCCTGAGAACCTTGCACAGCAGCAGCCTGTTAAAAGAGATGATGAACGAATGGTGTGGGGTGTTTGGCCACATTCCCACCTGTCACCATGACTTTCAGGAAAATGTACTGCACTTCTCGGTTCTTGGGAGATTCTGAGCCTCATATAAGCCTAATTTGCTCCAGAAGCAAGAGGCAGGGACAGAAGGCACCAGCCTCACTGGGATCACCAGGCTATGATGTCAAATTTTCCCCATTATGGTCTCTTTCTCTTGCATTCACTTTTTTGAAACTGTGGATAATAAACGGAAGGAGGGAGCCCCCTTGTCATTATTTGCCCCATCATCCTGCCCCCTCCAACAAAGGGTTGGCCCCAGACATCATCTCACCGCAGCGGCAGTACTGGCAGCAAAGTTTAGCAAGGGAGCTTGCTCTCCATAAACTATTAACTGCTTTCACTGTCAATGAAAGCAAAACTGACCTGCCTCCCTTGCCTTGTTTCTTCCCCCAGCCCCCATCCCAGTTCACTACCTCAGCACTAGGGCAAGAGAAACAGCTGAGGAGCTCTGAACACAATTAATCATTTTTAAGCAACAAACCAACAAATGCAATAACCCACCAACTTTTCATCTCTCAGGAGAGCAGAGTTTCAATATCATTTTGGATCACAAGTGAAATAAGTTAGATGGATGCTGACATTTTAGCCATGTCTGTGTCCTTGATAAGTTGAATAAGCAAGCCCCTTACAATGAGATGAAATAAAATGAGGGGAGATTTAGGGGTGTATGGGGTTTTCCCCTCATTTAAAATTTCTGAAGCCATGTTGGAGCAGTGGAAAGCAGAAAAGTACCAGAGTCAGCAAAGACAGGTTTCAATCCCAGCTCTGTCATGTACGAGTTCCTTGACTTTGGGCGAGTGCTTTAACCCCCCTGATCCTCAGTTTCCCCATCTGAATTATTGAGATTATGCATCTACCTTTCATGGTTGTTGTAAAAGATAAAATAATGTTTATAAAACATCTGTAACAGGGTAAATAGTCAACAAATGGTTGTGGTTATTACTAGATTAGCACCTTGTTACTGAAAAACCTCCAAGGAGCTACTGTAATGAGTTTGAGTGAGGATTCTAACCTGTGTGATAAAACCCCAAAATGCTTTGTGCTACAAAACCCAAATACACAATGCCAGAATATCTATACCAGTTAGAATCCTTTGGCAACACAAGTAGAATACACTTATTCTAGACAACTCCCATAGAAAATGATTGTGAAAATGAATAACAGTTAGCTTAGTCATTCAACTTTACATCTCAACTATCATTAGATGTCATTAGGAGGGATTTTAAAAGGGGATATCCTACCTTACCATTGTTGAGTGGATAAAGGAAAATTCAAGGCCAAGATAAAGACTAATTTAAGCTCCATGTCTGAAGACACTTATGCTTTAAATATATCAAAACACCTGGACTCCCCAAAAATGTTTATTCATAAAACTTACATAATAGCACAGACTAATTATTCTTCAGATGTCTTACATATGTGCCAGTTTCTGTTTTCTATGTGCTGTAACATTTTATAGCAGATCAGTAAATACATAGGCTGATACTAATTTTTTAACAGAAAAAACTTTCAGTTATTGATATTAGTTTTGAGATAATGGTAATTTTTCCTTTGAATTAGGAAAGATAAATAATGTTATCAGCACCTCTTAGGTGTCCTGCACTGTTCTAGGCATTTACACACCTTATCACAATTGGTTCTAGCAACAACCTACAAGGTATGTAGATTTATTCCCATTTCATAAAGAAGGAAGTTGGGGTTCAGATTTATTGCTTAGGTCACCCAGCTAGAGATGGAGGTGGGCACCTGCTCCTGAATGACTACTGGGTAAATTATGAAATTAGGGCAAAAATAAGTTATTTGAAACCAATGAGAATAAAGACCCAAGGTACCAGAATCTCTGGGACACAGCTAAAGAAGTGTTTAGAGGGAAATTTATAGCACTAAATGCCCACATCAGAAAGTAGAAAAGATCCAAAACAGACACCCTAAAATCACAATTAAAAGAACTAGAGAAGCAAGAGCAAACAAACTCACAAGCTAGCAGAAGACAAGAAATAACTAAGATTAGAGCAGAATTGAAGGGGATAGAGACACTGAAAACCCTTAAAAAAAATCAATGAATCCAGGAGCTGGTTTTTTGAAAAGATTAACAAAATAGATAGACCATGAGCCATACTAATAAAGAAGAAAAGGGTGAAGAATAAAATAGACACAATAAAAAATGATAAAGGGGAGATCACCACTGATCCCTCAGAAATAGAAAATACCATCAGAGAATACTATGAACACCTCTACATAAATAAACTAGAAAATCTAGAAGAAATGGATAAATTCCTGGACACATACACCTTCCCGAGACTAAACCAGGAAGAAGTCGAATCCCTGAATAGAGCAATAACAAGTTCTGAAATTGAGGCAGTAATTAATAGCCTACCAACCAAAAAGTGCCCAGGACCAGATGGAGTCACAGCTGAATTCTACCAGAGGTAGAAAGAGGAGCTGGTACCATTCCTTCTGAAACTATTCCAAACAACACAAAAAGAGGGACTCCTCCCTAATTCAATTTATGAGGCCAGCATCATCCTGATACCAAAACCTAGCAGAGACACAACAGAAAAAGAAAATTTCAGGCCAATATCCCTGATGAACATCAATGAGAAAATCCTCAATAAAATACTGGCAAACTGAATCCAGCAGCACATCAGAAAGCTTATCCACCAGGATCAAGTCAGCTTCATCCCTAGGATGCAAGGCTGGTTCCACATACACAAATCAATAAATGTAATCCATCACATAAACAGAACCAACGACAAAAACTGCATGATTATCTCAATAGAGGCAGAAAGGGTCTTCAATAAAATTC
Source organism: Homo sapiens (assembly GCF_000001405.40). Taxonomy (NCBI): domain Eukaryota; kingdom Metazoa; phylum Chordata; class Mammalia; order Primates; family Hominidae; genus Homo; species Homo sapiens. The sequence goes on from NC_000001.11 coordinate 177,715,352, forward strand.
AACACCCTTTCATGCTAAAAACTCTCAATAAACTGGGTATTGATGGAATATATCTCAAAATAATAAGAGCTATTTATGACAAAACCATAGCCAATATCATGCTGAATGGGCAAAAGCTGGAAGCATTCCCTTTGAAAACTGGCAAGACAAGGATGCCCTCTCTCACCTCTCCTATTCAACATAGTATTGGAAGTTCCGGCCAGGGAAATTGGGCAAGAGAAAGAAAGAAAGGGTATTCAAATAGGAAGAGAGGAAGTCGAATTGTCTCTGTTTGCAGATGACATGATTGTATATTTAGAAAACTCCATTGTCTCAGCCCAAAATCTCCTTAAGCTCATAAGCAACTTCAGCAAAGTCTCAGGATACAAACTCAATATGCAGAAATCACAAGCATTCCTATACACCAATAATAGAGACACAAATCATGAGTGAACTCCCATTCACAATTGCTACAAAGAAAATAAAATACCTAGGAATATGACTTTCAAGGGAGGTGAAGGACCTCTTCAAGGAGAACTGCAAACCACTGCTCAAGGAAATAAGAGAGGACACAAACAAATGGAAAAACATCCCATGCTCATGGATAGGAAGAATCAATATTGTGAAAATGGCCATACAGCCCAAAGTAATTTATAGATTCAATGCTCTTCCCATCAAGCTACCATTGACTTTCTTCACAGAACTAGAAAAAACTACTTTAAATTTCATACGGAACCAAAAAAGAGCCTGTATAGCCAAGACAATCGTAAACAAAAAGAACAAAGCTGGAGGCATCATGCTACCTGATTTAAAACTATACTACAAGGCTACAGTGACCAAAACAGCATGGTAATGGTACCAAAACAGATATATAGACCAATGGAACAGAATAGAGTACTCAGAAATAACACCACACATCTACAACCATCTGATCTTAGACAAATCTGACAAAACAAGAAATGGGGAAGGGATCCCTATTTAATAAATGGTGCTGGGAAAGCTGGCTAGCCATGTGCAGAAAATTGAAACTGGACCCCTTCCTTACACCTTATACAAAAATTAACTCAAGATGGATTAAAGACTTAAATGTTAGACCTAAAACTGTAAAAACCCTAGAAGAAAATCTAGGCAATACCATTCAGGACATAGGCATGGTCAAAGACTTCATGACTAAAACACCGAAAGCAATTGAAACAAAAGCCAAAATTGACAAATGGGATCTAATTAAACTAAAGAGCTTCTGCACAGCAAAAGAAACTATCATCAGAGTGAACAGGCAACCTATAGAATGGGAGAAAATGTTTGCAATCTATCTGTCTGATAAAGATCTAATATAAAGAATCTACAAGGAACTTAAACAAATTTACAAGAAAAAAACAACCCCATCAAAGAGTGGACAAAGGATATGAATAGACATGTCTCAGAAGAAGACATTTATGCATCCAACAAACATATGAAAAAAGAAGTTCATCATCACTGGTCATTAGAGAAACGCAAATCAAAACCGTAATGAGATACCATCTCACGCCAGTTAGAATGACGATCATTATAAAGTCAGGAAAAAACAGATACTAGAGAGGATGCAGAGAAATAGGAATGCTTTTACACTGTTGGTGGGAATGTAAATTAATTCAACCATTGTGGAAGACAGTGTGGTGATTCCTCATGGATCTAGAACCAGAAATACCATTTGACCCAGCAATCCCATTACTGGGTATATACCCAAAGGATTATAAATCATTCTACTTTAAAGACACATGCACACGTATGTTTATCACAGCACTATTTGCAATAGCAAAGGCTTGGAACCAACCCAAATGCTTATCAATGATAGACTGGATAAAGAAAATGTGGCACATATAAACCATGGAATACTATGCAGCCATAAAAAAGAATGAGTTCATGTCCTTTGCAGGGACATGGATGAAGCTGGAAACCATCATTCTCAGCAAACTAACACAGGAACAGAAAACCAAACAACACAGATTCTCACTCATAAGTGGGAGTTGAACAATGAGAACACATGGACACAGGGAGGGGAATATCACACACAGGGCCTATTGGGGGGCAGGGGGCAAGAGGAGGGATAGCATTAGGACAAATACCTAATGCATGTGGGGCTTAAAACCTAGATGATGGGTTGATGGGTGCAGCAAACCACCATGGCACATGTGTACCTGTGTAACAAATCTGCATGCTCTGTGTATGTATCCCAGAACTTAAAGTATAATAATAAAAAAAGAAGAAATCACAAGATAAAAAATTAAAAAAAAAATAGAGATGGAGGTGGGCTTTGAAGCCAGATTTATCTAAAGATCAAACTGCCTTACTCCAGGGAAAAAGCTACATGGGGGCATATGTGCCCTGGAAGGAAAACAAAAATATTGCTTGGGACATAATTATACTAAACAATTATTTGTTGCTTATCTGAAATTCAAATTTAACTGGGCACACTATATTTTATCTGGCAACCTTATTTTATGTTTTGAAATTAGGTTTTGTATACCTTTTCCTATATTTTTTATTTTTATTTCACTGTTCTTTTTGTTAAATTAAGTAAAAATGAATGCATAGTTCTTAATGTACAAAACACTAATGTGGTATTTCTCTGGCTTTGTTTTTTTTTTGTTACTGATCCTAAGCTCCAAAGCAGACCACACTGCTATCTCAGAGTCCAAAAAGGAAAAAACAAAGCTTTGCTCTCTTTTCTTGGAGACAGCTGTTTCATATTTCAAATACAATTTTTTAAAAATCAACTATTGTGACCTTTATATTTGAAAGGATCATTACTTATGTTGCCATTCATCAGGACTTTAAGGAGAGGATATTTGAGTCTCTACCCTGCTCACAAAATAAGGAGGTGATGATCAAAACCAAAGAGTTTTCAGTTTTGGACAAAATGGTGAACTAACACAGACTGCTGGTTCCCCAAACTGAGCTTGGAGAAAATGACAGAGGAAGACATGAAATCCATGAAATATGAAATAATAACTTAAAAAGAAACTCTCCCCTAAAACTCCTATTGACGGTGGGGGAAGGGAAGGGATGATAGCAAACAGAATTGACTGTGAATTTGTGGCACTTGGGGCTTTCCATCCTAAGAGATACCCTCTTCAGTCTCCTTCAACTTGCCAGGACCAACAGACTACTGTTTGACCAGTGTCTCCTCATTACCAAACAGAGTAGCTGATATCCTTAAGAAAATCAAAGCTCACAGTCAAATACTTAAGTACCTGAAGAATAAAACTACCTCCAAAGAAAAATAATGAACTTGATGACATAAAATATATAAAGCACAATTATTGGAACAGAAAGATCAAGAACTTAGAATAAGTGTAACAAATATACGTTTGAGGATAAATATACTATCAATACAAAACAAGAAAAATGAAAGAAAAACAAACATGATAAAGTATTAGAAATAAAAATTTAATAATGGAAATTTTAAAAAATAGGGTAAATAATAGGATGGATCCAGCTGAATGGGAAACTGATGAGCTGAAAGATCAGATTAAGAATGCCACAGGATCTATAGCGATAATCACTGGTTTTTGTCATTGGTTCTGTTTATGCGATGGATTACATTCATTGATTTGCATATGTTGAACCAGCCTTGCATCCCAGGGATGAAGCTGACTTGACTGTGGTGGATAAGCTTTTTAATGTGCTGCTGGATTCGGTTGCCAGTATTTTTTTTTTTTTTTTTTTTGAGATGAAGTCTCGCTCTCTTGCCCAGGCTGTAGCGCAGTGGTGCGGATCTCGGTTCACTGCAACCTCCACCTCCTGAGTTCAAGCAATTTTCCTGCCTCAGCTTCCTGAGTGAGTAGCTGGGATTACATGTGCCCACCACCAGGCCCAGCAAATTTTTGTATTTTTTTTAGTAGAGACGGGGTTTCACTGTATTGGCCAGGCTGGTCTCAAACTCCTGACCTCAGGTAATCCACCCCCCTTGGCCTCCCAAAGTGCTGGGATTACAGGCTTGAGCCACCATGCCTGGCCGGTTTGCTAGTATTTTATTCAGGACTTTTGCATTGATGTTCATCAGGGATATTTTCTTTTTTTGTTGTGTCTCTGCCAGGTTTTGGTATCAGGATGATGCTGGGGTCATAAAATGAATTAGGGAGGAGTACCTCTTTTTCTGTTGTTTGGAATAGTTTCAGAAGGAATGGTACCAGCTCCTCTTTGTACCTCTGGTAGAATTCGGCTGTGACTCCATCTGGTCCTGGGATTTTTTTGGTTGGTAGGCTATTAATTACTGCCTCAACTTTAGAACCTGTTATTGCTCTATTCAGGGATTTGACTTCTTCCTGGTTTAGTCTCAGGAAGGTGTATGTGTCCAGGAATTTATCCATTTTTTTTCTAGATTTTCTAGTTTATGTAGAGGTGTTTATAGTATTCTCTGATGGTATTTTGTATTTCTGTGGGATCAGTGGTAATCTCCCCTTTATCATTTTTTATTGTGTCTGTTTTACTCTTCTCCCTTTTCTTCTTTATTATTATGGCTAGTGGTCTATCTATTTTGTTAATCTTTTCAAAAAACCAGCTCCTGGATTCATTGATTTTTTGAAGGGTTTTTAGTGTCTCTGTCCCCTTCAGTTCTGCTCTGATCTTAAGTTACTTCTTGGCTTCTGCTAGCTTTTAAGTTTGTTTGCTCTTGCTTCTCTAGTTCTCTTAATTGTGATGTTAGGAGGTTGATTTTAGATTTTTCCTGCTTTCTCCCATGGGCATTTAGTGCTATAAGTTTCCCTCTAAACACTTCTTTACCTGTGTCCCAGAGATTCTGGTACATTGTGTCTTTGTTCTCATTGGTTTCAAAGAAATTCATTTCTGCCCTAATTTCGTTATTTACCCAGTAGTCTTCCAGGAGCAGGTTGTTCAGTTTCCATGTAGTTGTAAAGTTTTCAGTGAGTTTCTTAATCCTGAGTTCTAATTTGATTGCATTGTGGTCTGATAGACTGTTAATGATTTCCATTCTTTTGCATTTGTTGAGGAGTTTGACCTCCAATTATGTGGTCAATTTTAGAAGAAGTGCTATGTGATGCTGAGAAGAATGTATGTTCTATTGATTCAGGGTGGAGGGTTCTGTAGATGTCTATTAGTTCTGCTTGGTCCAGAGCTGAGTTCAAGTCCTGAATATCCTTGTTGATTTTCTGTCTCATTGATCTAATATTGACAGTGGGGTGTTAAAGTCTCCCACTATTATTGTGTGGGACTCTAAGTCTCTTTGTACATCTCTACAAACTTGCTTTATGAATCTGGGTGCTACTGTATTGGCTGCATATATATTTAGCATAGCTCTTCTTGTTGCATTGATCCCTTTACCATTACGTAATGGCCTTCTTTTCTTTTTTGATCTTTATTGGTTTAAAGTCTGTTTTATCAGAGACTAGGATTGCAACTCCTGCTTTTTTTTTTGCTTTCCATTTTCTTGGTAGATCTTCCTCCATCCCTTTATTTTGAGCCAATGTGTGTCTTTGCACATGAGATGGGTCTCCTAAATATAGCACACTGATGGATCTTGACTCTTTATCCAATTTGCCAGTCTGTGTATTTTAATTGGGGCATTTAGCCCATTTACATTTAAGTTTAATATTGTTATGTGGAATTCAATCCTGTCATTATGATGCTAGCTGGTTATTTTGCCCATTAGTTGATGCAGTTTCTTCATAGTGTTAATGGTCTTTACATTTTGGTATGTTTTTGCAGTGGCTGGTATTGGTTTTTCCTTTCCATATTTAGTGCTTCCTTCAGGAGCTCTTGTAAGGCAGGCCTGGTAGTGACAAAATCCCTCAGCATTTGCTTGTCTGTAAGGATTTTATTTCTCTTCACTTATGAAGCTTAGTTTGGCTGAATATGAAATTCTGGGTTGAAAATCCTTTTCTTTAAGAATGTTGAATATTGGCCCCCGCTGCCTTCTGGCTTGTAGGCTTTCTGCAGAGAAATCCACTGTTAGTCTAATGGGCTTCCCTTTGTGGGTAACCCGACCTTTCTTTCTGGCTGCCCTTAACATTTTTTCCTTCATTTCAACCTTGGTGAATCCGACGATTATGTGTCTTTGGGTTGCTCTTCTCAAGGAGTATCTTTATGACGTTCTCTATGTTTCCTGAATTTGAATGTTGGCCTGTCTTGCTACATTGGGGAAGTTCTCCTGGATAATATCCTGCAGAGTGTTTTACAACTTGTTTCCATTCTCCCCATCACTTTCAGGTACGCCAATGAAACATAGGTTTGGTCTTTTCACATAGCCCCATATTTCTTGGAGGCTTTGTTCATTCCTTTTTTTGCTTTTTTCTCTAATCTTGTCTTCACACTTTATTTCATACCCCAGCACAGCACAGCTGCTCCACAAAAGTGTGGCCATACTGCTTCTTTAAGCAGGTCCCCGATGCTGTTTCTCCTCACTGGGCAGAACCTCCTAACTAGGGCCTCCTGCCACACCCTTTGGTATTCTCTGGCCTACAAAAATTTGAAAACTCCCTGGCACAGAACTCTGAGAATGAGCAGTGGGCCACCATCTTTGCTGTCTGGGCAACTTAACAGTTCCAGCCTTCAGGCTATGGAGAATCCAAGCCAACCAGGGGTAGAAGTGGTACCCCAGACAGCAGAGAAGCCCCACAAAAACATTGCCAGACTACTTTTTTAAGTGAGTCCCTGAACCCATTCCTCATCACCAGGTGGAGCCTCCCAACCAGGGTCTCTGGCTACCCCCATCAATGTCCTCCAGCTGACAGAGATTTCAGGCCTACCTGAGACAGAGCTCCCAGAAGGAGGGGCAGGCCACCATCTTTGCTGTTTGGGTGACTTAGCTGTTCCAACCTTTGGGCTTCAGAGTATCCAAAGTGACCAGGGGCTGAAGTAGACCCTGAGTACAGCAAAGCTGCTATATAAAAACTTGGCCAGACTACTTTTATATGTGGGTCCCCAATCTCATTCCTCCTGATTGGGTGGGACCCTCCTGGGGTCATCAGCCACCTCCTACAGGTTTTTTCAGGCCAGAAAGAAGTCCATACCTCCTTGGGATGGAGCTCTCAGAGGAAGAGGCAGACTGCCATCTTTCCTGTTTTGCAGCCTTCATTGGTGATTCCTCCAGGTACTAAAAATTCTGAGGCAACTAGAGATTGGAGCAGACCCCTGGCATACCACAGTAGCCTGACAGAAAAATGGCCAGACTGTTAAATAAAATATCCAAAGGTTAGCAACCTCAAAGACTGAAGGCAGATAAGCCTACAGAGATGAGAAAGAATCAGCATAAGAACACTGAAAATTCAAAAAGCCAGAGTGCCCTCTTTCCTCCAAATGACCACATCACCTCTCCAGCAAGGGTTCAGAACTGGGCTGAGGCTGAGATGGCTGAAATGACAGAAATAGAATTCAGAATATGAATAGAAATGAAGTTCACTGAGCTAAAGGACTGTGTTGTAACCCAGTGCAAGGAAGCTAAAAATTATGATAAAACATTGCAAGAGATGACAGGCAAAATGGCCAGTACAGAGAATGTAACTGACCCAATAAAGCTGAAAAACAGATGACAAGAATTTTATAATGCAATCCCGAGTTTTAACAACAGAATAGACCAAGAGTGGAAAGAATCTCAGAGCAGAAGACTGCCTTTCTGAAATAAGACAAACAGATAAGAGTAGAGAAAAAAGAATAAAACAGAGTGAACAAAACCTCCAAGAAATATGGGATTATGTAAAGAGACTGAATCTGTGACTGGTATACCTGAAAGAGATGGGGAGAATAAAACCAATTTGGAAAACATATTTCAGGATATCATCCATGAGAACTTCCCCAGCCTAGCTGGAGAGGCTAACATTCAAATTCAGAAAATGCAAAGAGAGAACCCCAGTAAGATACTCCATGAGAAGATCATCTCCAAGATACATAATCATCAGATTCTCAGAGGTGGAAATGAAAGAAAAAATTTTAAAGGCAGCTACAGAGAAAAGCCAGGTCACCTATAAAGGGAAGCCCATTAGACTAACAAAGGACCTCTCAGCTGAAATCTTACAAGCCAGAAGAGATTGGGGGCCAATATTCAACATTCTTAAAGAAAAGAAATTCCAACTCAGAATTTCATATCTGGCCAAACTAAGCTTCATAAGTGAAGGAGAAATAAGACAATTTTTTGACAAGCAAATACTGAGGGAATTTGTTACCACAAGATGTGCCTTACAAGAGCCCCTGAAGGAAGCACTAAATATGGAAAGGGAAAATTGTTACCAGCCACTACAAAAACACACTAAAGTACACAGACCAGTGACACTATAAAGCAACTGCATAAAAAAGTCTTTAAAATAACCAGCTAACATCATGAAGGCAGGATCAAAATCACATATATTAATACTAACCTTAAATGTAGGTGGGCTAAATGCCCCAATTTAAAGACACAGAGTTGCAAGCTTGATAAAGAACCAAGACCCATTGATATGCTGTCTTCAAGAGACCTATCTCACATGCAGTGACACACACAAACTCAAAATAAAGGGATGGAGGAAAATCTACCAAGCAAATGGGGGACAGAAAAAAGCAAGGGTTGCAATCCTAGTTTCTGACAAAATAGACTTTAAACCAATAAGATCATAAGAGACAAGGGCATTACATAATGGTAAAGGGTTCAATTCAACAAGAAGATCTAACTATCCTAAATATATATGTACCCAGATTCATAAAGCAAGTTTTTTAAGACCTTCAAAGATACAGACTCCCACACAATAACAGTGAGAGACTTTAACACCCCACTGACAATATTAGACAGATCTTTGAGACAGAAAATTAACAAAGATATTCATGACCTGATCAAATGGACCTGATAGAACTCTCCACTCAAAAACAATAGAATATACATTCTTCTCATTGACACAACATGGCATTTACTCTAAAATCAATCACATAATTGGAAGTAAAACATTCCACAGCAAATATAAGAGAACTGAAATCATAACAAACAGTCTCTTGGACCACAAAACAATCAAATTAGAAATAAAGACTAAGAAATTCTCTCAAAAAGCCCTACTTGCAAACTGAATCCAGCAGCACATCAAAAGCTAATTCACCACGATCAAGTAGGCTTCATCTCCAGGATGCAAGTGTGTTCAACAAATCAATAAATATGATTCATCACATAAACAGAATGAAAGACAAAAACCACATGATTATCTAAATAGAAGCAAAAAAGGCTTTTTATAAAATTCAACACTCCTTCATATTAAACGCTCTCATTAAATTGGGTATGGAGGAACATACCTCAAAATAATAACAGCCATATATGACAAACCCACAGCCAATATCATACTGAATGGTCAAATGCTGGAAGCATTCCCCTTGAAAACTGGCATAATACAAGGATGCCCTCTCTCACCACTCCTATTCAACATAGTATTGGAAGTTCTGGCCAGGGAAATCAGGCAAGAGAAAGTAATAAAGGGCATCCAAATAGAAAGAGAGGAAGTCAAACTATCACTGTTTGCAGATGACATGATCCTATATCTAGAAAACTTCATAGACTCAGCTCAAAACCTTCTTAAGCTGATAAATAACTTCAGCAAAGTCTCAGAATACAAAATCAATGTGCAAAAATCACTAGCATTCCCATACACCAACAACAGTCAAGCCGAGAGCCAAACCAGGAATGAACTCCCATGCACAATTGCCACCAAAAGAATAAAATACCTAGGAATGAAACTAACAAGGGAGATGAAAGGGCTCTTTAGGGAGACCTACAAAACATCGTGCAAAAAAATCACAGATGACACACAAAAAAAATTCCATGCTTAGATAGGAAGAATCAATATTGTGAAAATGGCCATACTGAAAAGCAAATTGTAGATTCAATGCTATTCCTATTTAACTACCATTGACATTCTTCACAGAAGTAGAGAAAACTATTTTATAATTCACATGGAATTATAAAGGAGCTCAAATAGCCAAAGCAATATTAAGCAAAAAGCACAAAGCTAGAGGCATCACACTACCTAACTTCAAACTATACTACAGGGCTGCAGTAAACAAAACAGCATGATACTGGCACAAAAACAGACACGCAGACCAATGGAACACAATAGAGGACCCAGAAATAAGACCACACACCTATAGCTATCTGATCTTCAACAAGCCTGACAAAAACAAGCAATGGGGAAAGGATTCCCTGTTCAACAATGGTGCAAGGACAACTGGCTAGCTATATGCAGAAGATTGAAACTGGACCCCTTCTTTACACCATATACAAAAATTAACTCAAGATGGATAAAGAACTAAATGTAAAACCCAAAACTGTGAAAACCCTGGAAGACAACCTAGGGAACACCATTCATAGGCATGGGCAAAGATTTCATGACAAAGACGCCAAAAGCAATGCAACAAAGGCTAAAATTGACAAATGGAATCTAATTAAACTAAATAGTTTCTGCACAGCAAAAGAAATTATCAGAGCGAACAGACAACCTAAAGAATGGGAGAAAATTTTTGCAATCTACCTATCTGACAAAGGTCTAACATCCAGAATTTACAAAGAACTTAAACAAATTTACAAGAAAAAAAAACAAACCCATCAAAAAGGGGGCAAAGGGCATGAAGAGATGCTTTTCAAAAGAAGATATACACGGGGCCAACAAGCATAAGAAAAAAATCTCAACATCACTGATCATTAGAGAAATGCAAATCAAAACCACAATGAGATACCATCTATTACCAGTCAGATGGCTATTATTAAAAACTACAGATGCTGGCGAAATTGTGGAGAAAAAGTAATGTTTATATATTGTTGGTGGGATTGTAAGTTAGTTCAGCCATTGGAGAAGACAGTGTGGAGATTCCTCAAAGACCTAAAGACAGAAATACCATTCAACTCAGCAATCCCATTAATGGGTATATACCTGAAGGAATATAAATCATTCTATTACAAAGACACATGCATGCATATGTTCACTGCAGCACTATTCACAATAGCAAAGACATGGAATCAACCTAAATGATAGGCTGTATAAAGAAATCTTTATAGGCTATATAAAGAATAATAGACTGCATAAAGAAAATGTGGTTTGTATACACCATGGAATACTATGCAGCCATTAAAAAGCATGAAATCATGTCCTTTACAAGGACATGGATGGAGCTGGAGGCCACTATCCTTAGCAAACTAACACAGAACAGAAAACCAGATACCACATGTTCTCACCTATAAGTGGGACCTAAATTATGAGAACACATGGACATACAGGAAAACACACACTGGGGTCTTTCAGAAGGTGGAGGGTGGAAGGAAGGAGAGGATCAGGAAAAATAACTAACGGGTACTAGGCTAAATACCTGCGTGATCAGATAATCTGTACAACAACAAACTCCCATGACACAAGTTTACCTATATAACAAATATGCACTTGTACACCTGAACTTAAAATAAAAGTTAAGATAAAAGAATGCCACAGGAGGTTGGGCTCAGTGTCTCACTGTAATCCCAGTATTGTGGAAGGCCAAGGTAGCAGGATCACTTGAGGCCTGGCATTTGAGACTAGCCAGGGCAAAAGGGAGACACCCCTGACTCTACTAAAATTTTTTAAAAATTAAAAATTAGCTGAGTGTGTTGGTGCACACCTGCAGTCCCAGCACTCAGGAGGCTGTGGTGGGAGGATTGCTTGAGCCCAGGAGTTCGAGACTGCAGTGAGCTATGATCACTGTACTCTGCACTCCAGCCTGGGTGACAGAGTGAGACCCTGTCTCAGGTAAAAAAAAAAAAAAAAAGAAAAAACCACAGAAAAGAATAAAGAGATAGAAAATATAAAATTAAGAACTGAGAGTAAGGAGGATTAAAAAAAGTGCCACCATCAGATAACAGGAATCCTCAAATGTGATAGAAAAAGTAAGAGAAAGATGTGAAAACATATGGGCAGAAAGTTCTCAGAATTATTAATTAACCTAAGATCAAAAGAACCTCCACATAGTATTAAACAGAAGAGATAAGCATAAAACACACAAACACACACACACACCTTGATGCCACATATAGAACTGTAGGTATAACCGATAAAAAAATAAATAAATTTTAAAGCTTCTAGAATGAAGAAATCATTTAGTAAGAACAAGAATCATATTGACATTAGACTTTTCAATGGCAACATTTGAAGAAAGACAACAATGAAGTAATATTTTTAAAGCATTGAAGGAAAAGAACTTTGAACCTAGAATTAAGTATATTAAATTGTCATTTAAATGTGAGGACATAATAAAATATTCTAACTTATATAATGCCCTAGAGGGCTTGCCAAAATAAAAAATAAAAAAGACCCACAGCAAAGACACATTTGGAAGAAGTACTCAAATAGTAAGAGAAATAAATCTAGGAGATACTGCAAGTGATATGGAAGTCAAAGTTGATAAAGTATTCTAGTACGATTTTTTTATGAAAAGAGAAAGCGTTTGAGAAGTGTCAATTAATTCAATCATTGTGGAAGACAGTGAGGCAATTCCTCAAGGATCTAGAACCAGAAATATCATTTGACCCAGCAATCCCATTACTATATACCCAAAGGATTATAAATCATTCTACTATAAAGACACGTGCACACATATGTTTATTGCAGCACTATTTACAATAGCAAAGACATGGAACCAACCCAAATGCAGATCAGTGATAGACTGGATAAAGAAATTGTGGCAAATATATACCATGGAAAACTATGCAGCCATAAAAAAGAATGAGTTCATGTCCTTTGCAGGGACATGGATGAAGCTGGAAACCATCATTCTCAGCAAACTAACACAGGAACAGAAAACCAAACACCACATGTTCTCACTCATAAGTGGGAGTTGAACAATGAGAACACATGGACACAGGGAGGGGAACATCACACACCAGAGCCTGCTCGGGGGGGTCGGGGGCAAGGGGAGGGATAGCATTAGGACAAATACCTAATGCATACAGGGCTTAAAATCTAGATGACGGGTTGATGGGTGCAGCAACCACCATGGCACATGTATACATACGTATGTAACAAACCTTCACATTCTGCACGTGTATCCCAGAACTTAAACTATAATAAAAAAAAAAAGAAAAGAAAAAGGCAAAAAGAAAAAAAAGAAAGAAAAGAAAAGCTAAGAGAAGAGAAAGGGAAAAACATCCATAATAATCAAAAACTAAAACTCTAGGAAAAATCAACATGGTCAGAAGTAGAGAAGTGAAGATACGAAGAGAGAGAAGAGTTTGCCAGTATATTTGTTTTGTTAGAACAGAGAGTTAGAAAAAGAGAGGAAGAAGGAAGGACAGGAGGGAGAGAAGGAAGAAGAAAGGCTGATTTTAAAAATCATAAATAAATACAAATACGACTCTTAAGGGCAACCACCACAAAATTAATATTAGAATCAGAGGAATATGAATATATCCAAGGAAAAGCAGGAATAAAACATTTAAAAAAGAAAAATATAGTAAATGGAAAAAAAATAAAAAGAGGTAATAGAACTAAGTTCTAACATAATAGTAATTTGAATATAAAATAATCAAACTCATTAATTAGAAGATAAAAACTTTCTAATTGTTTTAATCTAACAATATATTGATTACAAGATACATACTTAAAAACACAGAGAAAGTTTAGAAATAATAGGATGGAAAAGATATACTAGTGAAACATGAACCAAATGAAAGCTTGGTAGTGATCTTAATACCTAAGATCGGTTTTAAAGCTTAAAAAAGTGAAAAGGAACAAATAAGAACATCAACTATTCATAAAAGGGGAAACAAAAAAACCGGATGGTAGAGCCAACATAAACATACTTGCATCTAATATAGCTTCAAGTATACAAAGCAACAGTTATCTAAATTGCAGGAAGAAAGATATTAATAAAAATGTTTGGTTTTGGTAGATTTATTAGAAATGAATATATCAAGCATAAGAAAATAGCAGAGATATCAAAATCCTAAATAACATAATTAACAAACTCTAGCAAGTATATAAAGAATACACATGGTAAATATGCCCCAATAGAGAATGTAATTTTTAGCTCATCCTCATTAACAAAACTAGACCACATATTGGATCATTAATGCAATCTCAATAAATTACTAAAGAACAATATCAAACAGACTATGTTCTTCAACAATTAGCAAATAGAATTAGAGATTATCTACAAAAAGATTATTTAAATAGCATATTTGGAAATGAAACCACATTTTATTAAACAGTTCTTGGGTTAAACAGGAAATAATAGAGGAAATTTAGAAATATTCAAGACTGAATAATTAAAATACCACAAAATCTATGAGAGATTAGTAAAGCCATGCCTAGAGGAAAAAGTTACACAGTTCTAAATAAATTATCAGGAAATGGAAAAGATAGAAATAAATTATCTGAGCATGCAACTAAATAAATTGGGGGAAAAGAGTCTTAAAGCAAGCACAAAGAAATAGAAAGTAGGGAAATATTAACAGTAAGGGCAGAAACCAATGAAATAAAGAACATAGCAACAGTAACAGAAGGTTAACAACTCAAGAGGTGTTTTGTTTGCTTCCTACTAAAAATAAAATACAAAGGCATCTGACAAGACTGATTTTCACACAAGAGAAAAATTACATGCCCTTCCAATAAAGAAAGGAAGGAAGGAAGGAAGGAAGGAAGGAAGGAAGGAATTAAGAGAAGAAACAGCTGTTAATATACTTGAAAACGTTGATAAAACAAATAAAAGCCTAAAACAATTTTTAAAGACAAAAAAAAGATTTT